>NC_000002.12:92702015-92879195 GCF_000001405.40 Homo sapiens | reverse complement strand
CGCTGCACCCACTAATGTGTCATCTAGCATTAGGTATATCTCCCAGTGCTATCCCTCCCCCCTCCCCCGACCCCACCACAGTCCCCAGAGTGTGATATTCCCCTTCCTGTGTCCATGTGATCTCATTGTTCAATTCCCACCTATGCGTGAGAATATGCGGTGTTTGGTTTTTTGTTCTTGCGATAGTTTACTGAGAATGATGGTTTCCAATTTCATCCATGTCCCTACAAAGGATATGAACTCATCATTTTTTATGGCTGCATAATATTCCATGGTGTATATGTGCCACATTTTCTTAATCCAGTCTATCATTGTTGGACATTTGGGTTGGTTCCAAGTCTTTGCTATTGTGAATAGTGCCGCAATAAACATACGTGTGCATGTGTCTTTATAGCAGCATGATTTATAGACCTTTGGGTATATACCCAGTAATGGGATGGCTGGGTCAAATGGTATTTCTAGTTCTAGATCCCTGAGGAATCGCCACACTGACTTCCACAATGGTTGAACTAGTTTAAAGTCCCACCAACAGTGTAAAAGTGTTCCTATTTCTCCGCATCCTCTCCAGCACCTTTTTTGTAGTATCTGGAAGTGGACATTTGGAGAGTTCTCAGGAATACGGTGAAAAAGGAAATATCTTCCAATAAAAGCTAGATAGATCTGTCTAGATTCTATATGAAGACAATCCCGTTTCCAACGAAATCCTCAAAGCTATCCAAATATCCTCTTGCAGATTTTACAAAAAGAGTGTTTCAAAACTGCTCTATCAAAAGAAAAGTTCCACACTGTTAGTTGAGGGCGCACATCACAAATAAGTTTGCTGAGAATGCTGCTGTCTGCTTTTTATATGTAATCCCGTTTCCAACGAAATCCTCAAAGCTAGACAAATATCCACTTGCAGATTCCACAAAAAGAGTGTTTCAAAACTGCTCTATCAAAAGAAAGCTTCAACACTGTTAGTTGAGGGCGCACATCACAAATAAGTTTCTGAGAATGCTTCTGTCTAGTTTTCAGGGGAAGATATTTCCTTTTAAACCATAGGCCTGAAAGCGCTCCAAATGTCCACATCCAGATACTACAAAAAGAGTGTTTGAAACCTGCTTTATGAAAGGGACTGTTCAACACTGTGACTTCAATTGAAACATCCCAATGAAGCTTCTGAGAATGCTTCTGTCTAGAGTTTATATGAAGACAATCCCGTTTCCAACGAAATCCTCAAAGCTATCCAAATATCCTCTTGCAGATATTACAAAAAGAGTGTTTCAAAACTGCTCTATCAAAAGAAAGCTTCAACACTGTTAGTTGAGGGCGCACATCACAAATAAGTTTCTGAGAATGCTTCTGTCTAGTTTTCAGGGGAAGATATTTCCTTTTTCACCATATGCCTGAAAGCGATCCAAATGTCCACATCCAGATACTACAAAAAGAGTGTTTCAAACCTGCTCTATGAAAGGGAATGTTCAACTCTGTGACTTGAATGCAAACATCACAAAGAAGTTTCTGGGAATGCTGCTGTCTGCTTTTTATATGTAATCCCGTTTCCAACGAAATCCTCAAAGCTAGACAAATATCCACTTGCAGATTCCACAAAAAGAGTGTTTCAAAACTGCTCTCTCAAAAGAAAGGTTCAACTCTGTTAGCTGAGTAGATACATCATGAAAAAGTTTCTGACATTGCTTCTATCTAGCTTTTATTGGAAGATATTTCCTTTTTCACCGCAGTCCTGAGAGCGCTCCAAATGTCCACTTCCAGATACTACAAAAAGAGTGTTTCAAACCTGCTCTATGAAAGGGACTGTTCAACACTGTGACTTCAATTGAAACATCCCAATGAAGCTTCTGAGAATGCTTCTGTCTAGAGTTTATATGAAGACAATCCCGTTTCCAACGAAATCCTCAAAGCTATCCAAATATCCTCTTGCAGATATTACAAAAAGAGTGTTTCAAAACTGCTCTATCAAAAGAAAGGTTCAACACTGTTAGTTGAGGGCGCACATCACAAATAAGTTTACTGAGAATGCTGCTGTCTGCTTTTTATATGTAATCCCGTTTCCAACGAAATCCTCAAAGCTAGACAAATATCCACTTGCAGATTCCACAAAAAGAGTGTTTCAAAACTGCTCTATCAAAAGAAAGCTTCAACACTGTTAGTTGAGGGGGCACATCACAAATAAGTTTCTGAGAATGCTTCTGTCTAGTTTTCAGGGGAAGATATTTCCTTTTAAACCATAGGCCTGAAAGCGCTCCAAATGTCCACATCCAGATACTACAAAAAGAGTGTTTCAAACCTGCTCTATGAAAGGGACTGTTCAACACTGTGACTTCAATTCAAACATCCCAATGACGCTTCTGAGAATGCTACTGTCTAGGTTTAATATGAAGACAATCCCGTTTCCAACGAAATCCTCAAAGCTATCCAAATATCCTCTTGCAGAGTTTACAAAAAGAATGTTTCAAAACTGCTCTATCAAAAGAAAGCTTCAACACTGTTAGTTGAGGGCGCACATCACAAATAAGTTTCTGAGACTACTTCTGTCTAGTTTTCAGGGGAAGATATTTCCTTTTTCACCATAGGCCTGAAAGCGCTCCAAATATCCACATCCAGATACTACAAAAAGAGTGTTTCAAACCTGCTCTATGAAAGGGAATGTTCAACTCTGTGACTTGAATGCAAACATCACAAAGAAGTTACTGGGAATGCTGCTGTCTGCTTTTTATATGTAATCCCGTTTCCAACGAAATCCTCAAAGCTAGACAAATATCCACTTGCAGATTCCACAAAAAGACTGTTTCAAAACTGCTCTCTCAAAGGAAAGGTTCAACTCTGTTAGCTGAGTAGATATATCATGAAAAAGTTTCTGACATTGCTTCTATCTAGCTTTTATTGGAAGATATTTCCTTTTTCACCGCAGTCCTGAGAGCGCTCCAAATGTCCACTTCCAGATACTACAAAAAGAGTGTTTCAAACCTGCTCTATGAAAGGGACTGTTCAACACTGTGACTTCAATTGAAACATCCCAAGGAAGCTTCTGAGAATGCTTCTGTCTAGAGTTTATATGAAGACAATCCCGTTTCCAACGAAATCCTCAAAGCTATCCAAATATCCTCTTGCAGATATTACAAAAAGTGTGTTTCAAAACTGCTCTATCAAAAGAAAGGTTCAACACTGTTAGTTGAGGGCGCACATCACAAATAAGTTTCTGAGAATGCTTCTGTCTAGTTTTCAGGAGAAGATATTTCCTTTTTCATCATAGGCCTGAAAGCGCTCCAAATGTCCACATCCAGATACTATAAAAAGAGTGTTTCAAACCTGCTCTCTGAAAGGGAATGTTCAACTCTGTGACTTGAATGCAAACATCACAAACAAGATTCTGGGAATGCTGCTGTCTGCTTTTTATAATTAATCCCGTTTCCAACGAAATCCTCAAAGCTAGACAAATATCCACTTGCAGATTCCACAAAAAGAGTGTTTCAAAACTGCTCTATCAAAAGAATGCTTCAACACTGTTAGTTGAGGGCGCACATCACAAATAAGTTTCTGAGAATGCTTCTGTCTAATTTTCAGGGGAAGATATTTCCTTTTAAACCATAGGCCTGAAAGCGCTCCAAATGTCCACATCCAGATACTACAAAAAGAGTGTTTCAAACCTGCTCTATGAAAGGGACTGTTCAACACTGTGACTTCAATTGAAACATCCCAATGACGCTTCTGAGAATGCTTCTGTCTAGAGTTTATATGAAGACAATCCCGTTTCCAACGAAATCCTCAAAGCTATCCAAATATCCTCTTGCAGATTTTACAAAAAGAGTGTTCCAAAACTGCTCCATCAAAAGAAAGCTTCAACACTGTTAGTTGAGGGCGCACATCACAAATAAGTTTCTGAGAATGCTTCTGTCTAGTTTTCAGGGGAACATATTTCCTTTTTCACCATAGGCCTGAAAGCGATCCAAATGTCCACATCCAGATACTACAAAAAGAGTGTTTCAAACCTGCTCTATGAAAGGGAATGTTCAACTCTGTGACTTGAATGCAAACATCACAAAGAAGTTTCTGGGAATGCTGCTGTCTGCTTTTTATATGTAACCCCGTTTCAAACTCAATCCTCAAAGCTAGACAAATATCCACTTGCAGATTCCACAAAAAGAGTGTTTCCAACCTGCTCTCTCAAAAGAAAGGTTCAACTCTGTTAGCTGAGTAGATACATCATGAAAAATTTTCTGACATTGCTTCTATCTAGCTTTTATTGGAAGATACTTCCTTTTTCACCGTAGTCCTGAGAGCGCTCCAAATGTCCACTTCCAGATACTACAAAAAGAGTGTTTCAAACCTGCTCTATGAAAGGGACTGTTCAACACTGTGACTTCAATTGAAACATCCCAATGAAGCTTCTGAGAATGCTTCTGTCTAGAGTTTATATGAAGACAATCCCGTTTCCAAAGAAATCCTCAAAGCTATCCAAATATCCTCTTGCAGATTTTACAAAAAGAGTGTTTCAAAACTGCTCTATCAAAAGAAAGCTTCAACACTGTTAGTTGAGGGCGCACATCACAAATAAGATTCTGAGAATGCTTCTGTCTAGTTTTCAGGGGAAGATATTTCCTTTTTCACCATAGGCCTGAAAGCGCTCCAAATGTCCACATCCAGATACTACAAATGAGTGTTTCAAACCTGCTCTATGAAAGGGAATGTTCAACTCTGTGACTTGAATGCAAACTTCACAAAGAAGTTTCTGGGAATGCTGCTGTCTGCTTTTTATATGTAATCCCGTTTCCAACGAAATCCTCAAAGCTAGACAAATATCCACTTGCAGATTCCACAAAAAGAGTGTTTCAAAACTGCTCTCTCAAAGGAAAGGTTCAACTCTGTTAGCTGAGTAGATACATCATGAAAAAGTTTCTGACATTGCTTCTATCTAGCTTTTATTGGAAGATACTTCCTTTTTCACCGTAGTCCTGAGAGCGCTCCAAATGTCCACTTGCAGATACTACAAAAAGAGTGTTTCAAACCTGCTCTATGAAAGGGACTGTTCAACACTGTGACTTCAATTGAAACATCCCAATGAAGCTTCTGAGAATGCTTCTGTCTAGAGTTTATATGAAGACAATCCCGTTTCCAACGAAATCCTCAAAGCTATCCAAATATCCTCTTGCAGATTTTACAAAAAGAGTGTTTCAAAACTGCTCTATCAAAAGAAAGCTTCAACTCTGTTAGTTGAGGGCGCACATCACAAATAAGATTCTGAGAATGCTTCTGTCTAGTTTTCAGGGGAAGATATTTCCTTTTTCACCATAGGCCTGAAAGCGCTCCAAATGTCCACATCCAGATACTACAAAAAGAGTGTTTCAAACCTGCTCTCTGAAAGGGAATGTTCAACTCTGTGACTTGAATGCAAACATCACAAAGAAGTTTCTGGGAATGCTGCTGTCTGCTTTTTATATGTAATCCCGTTTCGAACGAAATCCTCAAAGCTAGACAAATATCCACTTCCAGATTCCACAAAAAGAGTGTTTCAAAACTGCTCTCTCAAAAGAAAGGTTCAACTCTGTTGGCTGAGTAGATACATCATGAAAAAGTTTCTGACATTGCTTCTATCTAGCTTTTATTGGAAGATATTTCCTTTTTCACCGTAGTCCTTAGAACGCTCCAAATGTCCACTTCCAGATACTACAAAAAGAGTGTTTCAAACCTGCTCTATGATAAGGGACTGTTCAACACTGTGACTTCAATTGAAACATCCCAATGAAGCTTCTGAGAATGCTTCTTTCTAGAGTTTATATGAAGACAATCCCGTTTCCAACGAAATCCTCAAAGCTATCCAAATATTCTCTTGCAGATATTACAAAAAGAGTGTTTCAAAACTGCTCTATCAAAATAAAGCTTCAACACTGTTAGTTGAGGGCGCACATCACAAATAAGTTTCTGAGAATGCTGCTGTCTGCTTTTTATATGTAATCCCGTTTCCAACGAAATCCTCAAAGCTATCCAAATATCCTCTTGCAGATATTACAAAAAGAGTGTTTCAAAACTGCTCTATCAAAAGAAAGGTTCAACACTGTTAGTTGAGGGCGCACATCACAAATAAGTTTCTGAGAATGCTTCTGTCTAGTTTTCAGGGGAAGATATTTCCTTTTTCACCATAGGCCTGAAAGCGCACCAAATGTCCACATCCAGATACTACAAAAAGAGTGTTTCAAACCTGCTCTATGAAAGGGAATGTTCAACTCTGTGACTTGAATGGAAACATCACAAAGAAGTTACTGGGAATGCTTCTGTCTAGAGTTTATATGAAGACAATCCCGTTTCCAACGAAATCCTCAAAGCTATCCAAATATCCTCTTGCAGATTTTACAAAAAGAGTGTTTCAAAACTGCTCTATCAAAAGAAAGCTTCAACACTGTTAGTTGAGGGCGCACATCACAAATAAGATTCTGAGAATGCTCCTGTCTAGTTTTCAGGGGAAGATATTTCCTTTTTCACCATAGGCCTGAAAGCGCTCCCAATGTCCACATCCAGATACTACAAAAAGAGTGTTTCAAACCTGCTCTATGAAAGGGAATGTTCAACTCTGTGACTTGAATGCAAACATCACAAAGAAGTTTCTGGGAATGCTGCTGTCTGCTTTTTATATGTAATCCCGTTTCCAACGAAATCCTCAAAGCTAGACAAATATCCACTTCCAGATTCCACAAAAAGAGTGTTTCAAAACTGCTCTCTCAAAAGAAAGGTTCAACTCTTTTAGCTGAGTAGATACATCATGAAAAAGTTTCTGACATTGCTTCTATGTAGCTTTTATTGGAAGATATTTCCTTTTTCACCATAGTCCTGGGAGCGCTCCAAATGTCCACTTCCAGATACTACAAAAAGAGTGTTTCAAACCTGTTCTATGAAAGGAACTGCTCAACACTGTGACTTCAATTGAAACATCCCAATGAAGCTTCTGAGAATGGTGCTGTCTGCTTTGTATAATTAATCCCGTTTCCAACGAAATCCTCAAAGCTATCCAAATATCCTCTTGCAGATATTACAAAAAGAGTGTTTCAAAACTGCTCTATCAAAAGAAAGCTTCAACACTGTTAGTTGAGGGCGCACATCACAAATAAGTTTCTGAGAATGCTGCTGTCTGCTTTTTATATGTAATCCCGTTTCCAACGAAATCCTCAAAGCTAGACAAATATCCACTTGCAGATTCCACAAAAAGAGTGTTTCAAAACTGCTCTATCAAAAGAATGCTTCAACACTGTTAGTTGAGGGAGCACATCACAAATAAGTTTCTGAGAATGCTTCTGTCTAGTTTTCAGGGGAAGATATTTCCTTTTAAACCACAGGCCTGAAAGCGCTCCAAATGTCCACATCCAGATACTACAAAAAGAGTGTTTCAAACCTGCTCTATGAAAGGGACTGTTCAACACTGTAACTTCAATTGAAACATCTAATGAAGCTTCTGAGAATGCTACTGTCTAGGGTTAATATGAAGACAATCCCGTTTCCAACGAAATCCTCAAAGCTATCCAAATATCCTCTTGCGGATTTTACAAAAAGAGTGTTTCAAAACTGCTCTATCAAAAGAAAGCTTCAACACTGTTAGTTGAGGGCGCACATCACAAATAAGTTTCTGAGAATGCTTCTGTCTAGTTTTCAGGGGAAGATATTTCCTTTATCACCATAGGCCTGAAAGCGCTCCAAATGTCCACATACAGATACTACAAAAAGTGTGTTTCAAACCTGCTCTATGAAAGGGAATGTTCAAATCTGTGACTTGAATGCAAACATCACAAAGAAGTTTCTGGGAATGCTGCTGTCTGCTTTTTATATGTAATCCTGTTTCCAACGAAATCCTCAAAGCTAGACAAATATCCACTTGCAGATTCCACAAAAAGAGTGTTTCAAAACTGCTCTCTCAAAAGAAAGGTTCAACTCTGTTAGCTGAGTAGATACATCATGAAAAAGTTTCTGACATTGCTTCTATCTAGCTTTTATTGGAAGATATTTCCTTTTTCACCGTAGTCCTGAGAACGCTCCAAATGTCCACTTCCAGATGCTGCAAAAAGAGTGTTTCAAACCTGCTCTATGAAAGGGACTGTTCAACACTGTGACTTCAATTGAAACATCCCAATGAAGCTTCTGAGAATGCTGCTGTCTGCTTTGTATAATTAATCCCGTTTCCAACGAAATCCTCAAAGCTATCCAAATATCCTCTTGCAGATATTACAAAAAGAGTGTTTCAAAACTGCTCTATCAAAAGAAAGCTTCAACACTGTTAGTTGAGGGCGCACATCACAAATAAGTTTCTGAGAATGCTGCTGTCTGCTTTTTATATGTAATCCCGATTCCAACGAAATCCTCAAAGCTAGACAAATATCCACTTGCTGATTCCACAAAAAGAGTGTTTCAAAACTGCTCTATCAAAAGAAAGCTTCAACACTGTTAGTTGAGGGCGCACATCACAAATAAGTTTCTGAGAATGCTTCTGTCTAGTTTTCAGGGGAAGATATTTCCTTTTTCACCTTAGGCCTGAAAGCGCTCCAAATGTCCACATCCAGATACTACAAAAAGAGTGTTTCAAACCTGCTCTATGAAAGGGAATGTTCAACTCTGTGACTTGAATGCAAACATCCCAAAGAAGTTTCTGGGAATGCTTCTGTCTAGAGTTTATATGAAGACAATCCCGTTTGCAACGAAATCCTCAAAGCTATCCAAATATCCTCTTGCAGATTTTACAAAAAGAGTGTTTCAAAACTGCTCTATCAAAAGAAAGCTTCAACACTGTTAGTTGAGGGCGCACATCACAAATAAGATTCTGAGAATGATTCTGTCTAGTTTACTGGGGAAGATATTTCCTTTTTCACCATAGGCCTGAAAGCGCTCCAAATGTCCACATCCAGATACTACAAAAAGAGTGTTTCAAACCTGCTCTATGAAAGGGAATGTTCAAGTCTGTGACTTGAATGCAAATTTCACAAAGAGCTTTCTGGGAATGCTGCTGTCTGCTTTTTATATGTAATCCCGTTTCCAACGAAATCCTCAAAGCTAGACAAATATCCACTTGCAGATTCCACAAAAATAGTGTTTCAAAACTGCTCTCTCAAAAGAAAGGTTCAACTCTTTTAGCTGAGTAGATACATCATGAAAAAGTTTCTGACATTGCTTCTATCTAGCTTTTATTGGAAGATATTTCCTTTTTCACCGCAGTCCTGAGAGCGCTCCAAATGTCCACTTCCAGATACTACAAAAAGAGTGTTTCAAACCTGCTCTATGAAAGGGACTGTTCAACACTGTGACTTCAACTGAAACATCCCAATGAAGCTTCTGAGAATGCTTCTGTCTAGAGTTTATATGAAGACAATCCCGTTTCCAACGAAATCCTCAAAGCTATCCAAATATCCTCTTGCAGATTTTACAAAAAGAGTGTTTCACAACTGCTCTATCAAAAGAAAGCTTCAACACTGTTAGTTGAGGGCGCACATCACAAATAAGATTCTGAGAATGCTTCTGTCTAGTTTTCAGGGGAAGATATTTCCTTTTTCACCATAGGCCTGAAAGCGCTCCAAATGTCCACATCCATATACTACAAAAAGAGTGTTTCAAACCTGCTCTATGAAAGGGAATGTTCAACTCTGTGACTTGAATGCAAACATCACAAAGAAGTTTCTGGGAATGCTGCTGTCTGCTTTTTATATGTAATCCCGTTTCCAACGAAATCCTCAAAGCTAGACAAATATCCACGTGCAGATTCCACAAAAAGAGTGTTTCAAAACTGCTCTATCAAAAGAAAGCTTCAACACTGTTAGTTGAGGGCGCACATCACAAATAAGTTTCTGAGAATGCTTCTGTCTAGTTTTCAGGGGAAGATATTTCCTTTTTCACCATAGGCCTGAAAGCGCTCGAAATGTCCACATCCAGATACTACAAAAAGAGTGTTTCAAACCTGCTCTATGAAAGGGACTGTTCAACACTGTGACTTCAATTGAAACATCCCAATGAAGCTTCTGAGAATGCTTCTGTCTAGAGTTTATATGAAGACAATCCCGTTTCCAACGAAATCCTCAAAGCTATCCAAATATCCTCTTGCAGATTTTACAAAAAGAGTGTTTCAAAACTGCTCTATCAAAAGAAAGCTTCAACACTGTTAGTTGAGGGCGCACATCACAAATAAGATTCTGAGAATGCTTCTGTCTAGTTTTCAGGGGAAGATATTTCCTTTTTCACCATAGGCCTGAAAGCGCTCCAAATGTCCACATCCAGATATTACAAAAAGAGTGTTTCCAACCTGCTCTATGAAAGGGAATGTTCAACTCTGTGACTTGAATGCAAACATCACAAAGAAGTTACTGGGAATGCTGCTGTCTGCTTTTTATATGTAATCCCGTTTCCAACGAAATCCTCAAAGCTAGACAAATATCCACTTGCAGATTCCACAAAAAGAGAGTTTCAAAACTGCTCTCTCAAAGGAAAGGTTCAACTCTGTTAGCTGAGTAGATACATCATGAAAAAGTTTCTGACATTGCTTCTATGTAGCTTTTATTGGAAGATATTTCCTTTTTCACCATAGTCATGAGAGCGCTCCAAATGTCCACTTCCAGATACTACAAAAAGACTGTTTCAAACCTGCTCTATGAAAGGGACTGTTCAACACTGTGACTTCAATTGAAACATCCCAATGAAGCTTCTGAGAATGCTTCTGTCTAGAGTTTATATGAAGACAATCCCGTTTCCAACGAAATCCTCAAAGCTATCCAAATATCCTCTTGCAGATATTACAAAAAGAGTGTTTCAAAACTGCTCTATCAAAAGAAAGGTTCAACACTGTTAGTTGAGGGCGCACATCACAAATAAGTTTACTGAGAATGCTGCTGTCTGCTTTTTATATGTAATCCCGTTTCCAACGAAATCCTCAAAGCTAGACAAATATCCACTTGCAGATTCCACAAAAAGAGTGTTTCAAAACTGCTCTATCAAAAGAAAGCTTCAACACTGTTAGTTGAGGGCGCACATCACAAATAAGTTTCTGAGAATGCTTCTGTCTAGTTTTCAGGGGAAGATATTTCCTTTTTCACCATAGGCCTGAAAGCGCTCGAAATGTCCACATCCAGATACTACAAAAAGAGTGTTTCAAACCTGCTCTATGAAAGGGACTGTTCAACACTGTGACTTCAATTGAAACATCCCAATGAAGCTTCTGAGAATGCTTCTGTCTAGAGTTTATATGAAGACAATCCCGTTTCCAACGAAATCCTCAAAGCTATCCAAATATCCTCTTGCAGATATTACAAAAAGAGTGTTTCAAAACTGCTCTATCAAAAGAAAGCTTCAACACTGCTAGTTGAGGGCGCACATCACAAATAAGTTTCTGATAATGCTTCTGTCTAGTTTTCAGGGGAAGATATTTCCTTTTTCACCATAGGCCTGAAAGCGCTCCAAATGTCCACATCCAGATACTACAAAAAGAGTGTTTCAAACCTGCTCTATGAAAGGGAATGTTCAACTCTGTGACTTGAATGCAAACATCACAAAGAAGTTACTGGGATTGCTGCTGTCTGCTTTTTATATGTAATCCCGTTTCCAACGAAATCCTGAAAGCTAGACAAATATCCACCTGCAGATTCCACAAAAAGAGTGTTTCAAAACTGCTCTCTCAAAAAAAATGTTCAACTCTCTTAGCTGAGTAGATACATCATGAAAAAGTTTCCGACATTGCTTCTATCTAGCTTTTATTGGAAGATATTTCCTTTTTCACCGTAGTCCTGAGAGCGCTCCAAATGTCCACTTCCAGATACTACAAAAAGAGTGTTTCAAACCTGCTCTATGAAAGGGAATGTTCAACACTGTGACTTCAATTGAAACATCCCAATGAAGCTTCTGAGAATGCTACTGTCTAGAATTTATATGAAGACAATCCCATTTCCACCGAAATCCTCAATGCTATCCAAATATCCTCTTGCAGATTTTACAAAAAGAGTGTTTCAAAACTGCTCTATCAAAAGAAAGCTTCAACACTGTTAGTTGAGGGCTCGCATCACAAAAAAGTTTCTGAGAATGCTGCTGTCTGCTTTTTATATGTAATCCCGTTTCCAACGAAATCCTCAAAGCTAGACAAATATCCACTTACAGATTCCACAAAAAGAGTGTTTCAAAACTGCTCTATCAAAAGAATGCTTCAACACTGTTAGTTGAGGGCGCACATCAGAAATAAGTTTCTGAGAATGCTTCTGTCTAGTTTTCAAGGGAAGATATTTCCTTTTAAACCATAGGCCTGAAAGCGCTCCAAATGTCCACATCCAGATACTACAAAAAGAGTGTTTCAAACCTGCTCTATGAAAGGGACTGTTCAACACTGTGACTTCAATTGAAACATCCCAATGACGCTTCTGAGAATGCTACTGTCTAGAGTTTATATGAAGACAATCCCGTTTCCAACGAAATCCTCAAAGCTATCCAAATATCCTCTTGCAGATTTTACAAAAAGAGTGTTTCAAAACTACTCTATCAAAAGAGAGCTTTAACACTGTTAGTTGAGGGCGCACATGACAAATAAGTTTCTGACAATGCTTCTGTCTAGTTTTCAGGGGAAGATATTTCCTTTTTCACCATAGGCCTGAAAGCGCTCCAAATGTCCACATCCAGATACTACAAAAAGAGTGTTTCAAACCTGCTCTATGAAAGGGAATGTTCAACTCTGTGACTTGAATGCAAACATCACAAAGAAGTTTCTGGGAATGCTGCTGTCTACTTTTTATATGTAATCCCGTTTCCAACGGAATCCTCAAAGCTAGACAAATATCCACTTGCAGATTCCACAAAAAGAGTGTTTCAAAACTGCTCTCTCAAAGGAAGGTTCAACTCTGTTAGCTGAGTAGATACATCATGAAAAAGTTTCTGACATTGCTTCTATGTAGCTTTTATTGGAAGATATTTCCTTTTTCACCGTAGTCCTGAGAGCGCTCCAAATGTCCACTTCCAGATACTACCAAAAGAGTGTTTCAAACCTGTTCTACGAAAGGAACTGTTCAACACTGTGACTTCAATTGAAACATCCCAATGAAGCTTCTGAGAATGCTTCTGTCTAGAGTTTATATGAAGACAATCCCGTTTCCAACGAAATCCTCAAAGCTATCCAAATATCCTCTTGCAGATATTAGAAAAAGAGTTTTTCAAAACTGCTCTATCAAAAGAAAGGTTCAACACTGTTAGTTGAGGGCGCACATCACAAATAAGTTTCTGAGAATGCTGCTGTCTGCTTTTTATATGTAATCCGGTTTCCAACGAAATCCTCAAAGCTAGACAAACATCCACTTGCAGATTCCACAAAAAGAGTGTTTCAAAACTGCTCTATCAAAAGAAAGCTTCAACACTGTTAGTTGAGGGCGCACATCACAAATAAGTTTCTGAGAATGCTTCTGTCTAGTTTTCAGGGGAAGATATTTCCTTTTTCACCATAGGCCTGAAAGCGCTCCAAATGTCCACATCCAGATACTACAAAAAGAGTGTTTCAAACCTGCTCTATGAAAGGGACTGTTCAACACTGTGACTTCAATTGAAACATCCCAATGAAGCATCTGAGAATGCTTCTGTCTAGATTCTATATGAAGACAATCCCGTTTCCAACGAAATCCTCAAAGCTATCCAAATATCCTCTTGCAGATTTTACAAAAAGAGTGTTTCAAAACTGCTCTATCAAAAGAACGGTTCAACACTGTTAGTTGAGGGCGCACATCACAAATAAGATTCTGAGAATGCTTCTGTCTAGTTTTCAGGGGAAGATATTTCCTTTTTCACCATAGGCCTGAAAGCGCTCCAAATGTCCACATCCAGATACTACAAAAGGAGTGGTTTCAAACCTGCTCTATGAAAGGGAATGTTCAACTCTGTGACTTGAATGCAAACATCACAAAGAAGTTTCTGGGAATGCTGCTGTCTGCTTTTTATATGTAATCCCGTTTCCAACGAAATCCTCAAAGCTAGACAAATATCCACTTGCAGATTCCACAAAAAGAGTGTTTCAAAACTGCTCTCTCAAAAGAAAGGTTCAACTCTGTTAGCTGAGTAGATACATCATGAAAAAGTTTCTGACATTGCTTCTATCTAGCTTTTATTGGAAGATATTTCCTTTATCACCGGAGTCCTGAGAGCGCTCCAAATGTCCACTTCCAGATACTACAAAAAGAGTGTTTCAAACCTGCTCTATGAAAGGGACTGTTCAACACTGTGACTTCAATTGAAACATCCCAATGAAGCTTCTGAGAATGCTTCTGTCTAGAGTTTATATGAAGACAATCCCGTTTCCAACGAAATCCTCAAAGCTATCCAAATATCCTCTTGCAGATATTACAAAAAGAGTGTTTCAAAACTGCTCTATCAAAAGAAAGGTTCAACACTGTTAGTTGAGGGCGCACATCACAAATAAGTTTACTGAGAATGCTGCTGTCTGCTTTTTATATGTAATCCCGTTTCCAACGAAATCCTCAAAGCTAGACAAATATCCACTTGCAGATTCCACAAAAAGAGTGTTTCAAAACTGCTCTATCAAAAGAATGCTTCAACACTGTTAGTTGAGGGCGCACATCACAAATAAGTTTCTGAGAATGCTTCTGTCTAGTTTTCAGGGGAAGATATTTCCTTTTTCACCATAGGGCTGAAAGCGCTCCAAATGTCCACATCCAGATACTACAAAAAGAGTGTTTCAAACCTGCTCTATGAAAGGGACTGTTCAACACTGTGACTTCAATTGAAACATCCCAATGACGCTTCTGAGAATGCTTCTGTCTAGAGTTTATATGAAGAAAATACCGTTTCCAACGAAATCCTCAAAGCTATCCAAATATCCTCTTGCAGATTTTACAAAAAGAGTGTTTCAAAACTGCTCTATCAAAAGAAAGCTTCAACACTGTTAGTTGAGGGCGCACATCACAAATAAGATTCTGAGAATGCTTCTGTCTAGTTTTCAGGGGAAGATATTTCCTTTTTCACCATAGGCCTGAAAGCGGTCCAAATGTCCACATCCAGATACTACAAAAAGAGTGTTTCAAACCTGCTCTATGAAAGGGAATGTTCAACTCTGTGACTTGAATGCAAACATCACAAAGAAGATTCTGGGAATGCTGCTGTCTGCTTTTTATATGTAATCCCGTTTCCAACGAAATCCTCAAAGCTAGACAAATATCCACTTCCAGATTCCACAAAAAGAGTGTTTCAAAACTGCTCTCTCAAAAGAAACGTTCAACTCTGTTAGCTGAGTAGATACATCATGAAAAAGTTTCTGACATTGCTTCTATGTAGCTTTTATTGGAAGATATTTCCTTTTTCACCGTAGTCCTGAGATCGCTCCAAATGTCCACTTCCAGATACTACAAAAAGAGTGTTTCAAACCTGCTCTATGAAAGGGACTGTCCAACACTGTGACTTCAATTGAAACATCCCAATGAAGCTTCTGAGAATGCTTCTGTCTAGAGTTTATATGAAGACAATCCCGTTTCCAACGAAATCCTCAAAGCTATCCAAATATCCTCTTGCAGATATTACAAAAAGAGTGTTTCAAAACTGCTCTATCAAAAGAAAGGTTCAACACTGTTAGTTGAGGGCGCACATCACAAATAAGTTTACTGAGAATGCTGCTGTCTGCTTTTTATAATTAATCCCGTTTCCAACGAAATCCTCAAAGCTAGACAAATATCCACTTGCAGATTCCACAAAAAGAGTGTTTCAAAACTACTCTATCAAAAGAATGCTTCAACACTGTTAGTTGAGGGCGCACATCACAAATAAGTTTCTGAGAATGCTTCTGTCTAGTTTTCAGGGGAAGATATTTCCTTTTTCACCATAGGCCTGAAAGCGCTCCAAATGACCACATCCAGATACTACAAAAAGAGTGTTTCAAACCTGCTCTATGAAAGGGACTGTTCAACACTGTGACTTCAATTGAAACATCCCAATGAAGCTTCTGAGAATGCTTCTGTCTAGAGTTTATATGAAGACAATCCCGTTTCCAACGAAATCCTCAAAGCTATCCAAATATCCTCTTGCAGATATTACAAAAAGAGTGTTTCAAAACTGCTCTATCAAAAGAAAGGTTCAACACTATTAGTTGAGGGCGCACATCACAAATAAGTTTCTGAGAATGCTTCTGTCTAGTTTTCAGGAGAAGATATTTCCTTTTTCACCATAGGCCTGAAAGCGCTCCAAATGTCCACATCCAGATACTACAAAAAGAGTGTTTCAAACCTGCTCTCTGAAAGGGAATGTTCAACTCTGTGACTTGAATGCAAACATCACAAACAAGATTCTGGGAATGCTGCTGTCTGCTTTTTATATGTAATCCCGTTTCCAACGAAATCCTCAAAGCTAGACAAATATCCACTTGCAGATTCCACAAAAAGAGTTTTTCAAAACTGCTCTATCAAAAGAAAGCTTCAACACTGTTAGTTGAGGGCGCACATCACAAATAAGTTTCTGAGAATGCTTCTGTCTAGTTTTCAGGAGAAGATATTTCCTTTTTCACCGTATTCCTGAGATCTCTCCAAATGTCCACTTCCAGATACTACAAAAAGAGTGTTTCAAACCTGCTCTATGAAAGGGACTGTTCAACACTGTGACTTCAATTGAAACATCCCAATGAAGCTTCTGAGAATGCTTCTGTCTAGAGTTTATATGAAGACAATCCCGTTTCCAACGAAATCCTCAAAGCTATCCAAATATCCTCTTGCAGATTTTACAAAAAGAGTGTTTCAAAACTGCTCTATCAAAAGAAAGGTTCAACACTGTTAGTTGAGGGTGCACATCACAAATAAGATTCTGAGAATGCTTCTGTCTAGTTTTCAGGGGAAGATATTTCCTTTGTCACCATAGGCCTGAAAGCGCTCCAAATGTCCACATCCAGATACTACAAAAAGAGTGTTTCCAACCTGCTCTATGAAAGGGAATGTTCAACTCTGTGACTTGAATGCAAACATCACAAAGAAGTTTCTGGGAATGCTGCTGTCTGCTTTTTATATGTAATCCCGTTTCCAACGAAATCCTCAAAGCTAGACAAATATCCACTTGCAGATTCCACAAAAAGAGTGTTTCAAAACTGCTCTCTGAAAGGAAAGGTTCAACTCTGTTAGCTGAGTAGATACATCATGAAAAAGTTTCTGACATTGCTTCTATCTAGCTTTTATTGGAAGATATTTCCTTTTTCACCGCAGTCCTGAGAGCGTTCCAAATGTCCACTTCCAGATACTACAAAAAGAGTGTTTCAAACCTGCTCTATGAAAGGGACTGTTCAACACTGTGACTTCAATTGAAACATCCCAATGAAGCTTCTGAGAATGCTTCTTTCTAGAGTTTATATGAAGACAATCCCGTTTCCAACGAAATCCTCAAAGCTATCCAAATATTCTCTTGCAGATATTACAAAAAGAGTGTTTCAAAACTGCTCTATCAAAATAAAGCTTCAACACTGTTAGTTGAGGGCGCACATCACAAATAAGTTTCTGAGAATGCTGCTGTCTGCTTTTTATATGTAATCCCGTTTCCAACGAAATCCTCAAAGCTAGACAAATATCCACTTGCAGATTCCACAAAAAGAGTGTTTCAAAACTGCTCTATCAAAAGAATGCTTCAACACTGTTAGTTGAGGGCGCACATCACAAATAAGTTTCTGAGAATGCTTCTGTCTAGTTTTCAGTGGAAGATATTTCCTTTTAAACCATAGGCCTGAAAGCGCTCCAAATGTCCACATCCAGATACTACAAAAAGAGTGTTTGAAACCTGTTCTATGAAAGGGACTGTTCAACACTGTGACTTCAATTGAAACATCCCAATGAAGCTTCTGAGAATGCTTCTGTCTAGAGTTTATATGAAGACAATCCCGTTTCCAACGAAATCCTCAAAGCTATCAAAATATCCTCTTGCAGATTTTACGAAAAGAGTGTTTCAAAACTGCTCTATCAAAAGAAAGCTTCAACACTGTTAGTTGAGGGCGCACATCACAGATAAGATTCTGAGAATGCTTCTGTCTAGTTTTCAGGGGAAGATATTTCCTTTTTCAGCATAGGCCTGAAAGCGCTCCAAATGTCCACATCCAGATACTACAAAAAGAGTGTTTCAAACCTGCTCTATGAAAGGGAATGTTCAACTCTGTGACTTGAATGCAAACATCACAAAGAAGTTTCTGGGAATGCTGCTGTCTGCTTTTCTTATGTAATCCCGTTTCCAACGAAGTCCTCAAAGCTAGACAAATATCCACTTGCAGATTCCACAAAAAGAGTGTTTCAAAACTGCTGCCTCAAAAGAAAGGTTCAACTCTGTTAGCTGAGTAGATACATCATGAAAAAGTTTCTGACATTGCTTCTATCTAGCTTTTATTGGAAGATATTACCTTTTTCACCATAGTCCTGAGAGTGCTCCAAATGTCCACTTCCAGATACTACAAAAAGAGTGTTTCAAACCTGCTCTATGAAAGGGACTGTTCAACACTGTGACTTCAATTGAAACATCCCAATGAAGCTTCTGAGAATGCTTCTTTCTAGAGTTTATATGAAGACAATCCCGTTTCCAACGAAATCCTCAAAGCTATCCAAATATTCTCTTGCAGATATTACAAAAAGAGTGTTTCAAAACTGCTCTATCAAAATAAAGCTTCAACACTGTTAGTTGAGGGCGCACATCACAAATAAGTTTCTGAGAATGCTGCTGTCTGCTTTTTATATGTAATCCCGTTTCCAACGAAATCCTCAAAGCTAGACAAATATCCACTTGCAGATTCCACAAAAAGAGTGTTTCAAAACTGCTCTATCAAAAGAATGCTTCAACACTGTTAGTTGAGGGGGCACATCACAAATAAGATTCTGAGAATGCTTCTGTCTAGTTTTCAGGGGAAGATATTTCCTTTTAAACCATAGGCCTGAAAGCGCTCCAAATGTCCACATCCAGATACTACAAAAAGAGTGTTTCAAACCTGCTCTATGAAAGAGACTGTTCAACACTGTAACTTCAATTGAAACATCCCAATGAAGCTTCTGAGAATGCTTCTGTCTAGAGTTTATATGAAGACAATCCCGTTTCCAAAGAAATCCTCAAAGCTATCCAAATATCCTCTAGCAGATTTTACAAAAAGAGTGTTTCAAACCTGCTCTATCAAAAGAAAGCTTCAACACTGTTAGTTGAGGGCGCACATCACAAATAAAATTCTGAGAATGCTTCTGTCTAGTTTTCAGGGGAAGATATTTCCTTTTTCACCATTGGCCTGAAAGCGCTCCAAATGTCCACATCCAGATACTACAAAAAGAGTGTTTCAAACCTGCTCTATGAAAGGGAATGTTCAACTCTGTGACTTGAATGCAAACATCACAAAGAAGTTTCTGGGAATGCTGCTGTCTGCTTTTTATATGTAATCCCGTTTCCAACGAAATCCTCAAAGCTAGACAAATATCCACTTGCAGATTCCACAAAAAGAGTGTTTCAAAACTGCTCTCTCAAAAGAAAGGTTCAACTCTGTTAGCTGAGTAGACACATCATGAAAAAGTTTCTGACATTGCTTCTATCTAGCTTTTATTGGAAGATATTTCCTTTTTCACCGTAGTCCTGAGATCTCTCCAAATGTCCACTTCCAGATACTACAAAAAGAGTGTTTCAAACCTGCTCTATGAAAGGGACTGTTCAACACTGTGACTTCAATTGAAACATCCCAATGAAGCTTCTGAGAATGCTTCTGTCTAGAGTTTATATGAAGACAATCCCGTTTCCAACGAAATCCTCAAAGCTATCCAAATATCCTCTTGCAGATTTTACAAAAAGAGTGTTTCAAAACTGCTCTATCAAAAGAAAGCTTCAACTCTGTTAGTTGAGGGCGCACATCACAAATAAGATTCTGAGAATGCTTCTGTCTAGTTTTCAGGGGAAGATATTTCCTTTTTCACCATAGGCCTGAAAGCGCTCCAAATGTCCACATCCAGATACTACAAAAAGAGTGTTTCAAACCTGCTCTCTGAAAGGGAATGTTCAACTCTGTGACTTGAATGCAAACATCACAAAGAAGTTTCTGGGAATGCTGCTGTCTGCTTTTTATATGTAATCCCGTTTCCAACGAAATCCTCAAAGCTAGACAAATATCCATCCACTTGCAGATTCCACAAAAAGAGTGTTTCAAAACTGCTCTATCAAAAGGATGCTTCAACACTGTTAGTTGAAGGCGCACATCACAAATAAGTTTCTGAGAATGCTTCTGTCTAGTTTTCAGGGGAAGATATTTCCTTTTAAACCATAGGCCTGAAAGCGCTCCAAATGTCCACATCCAGATACTACAAAAAGAGTGTTTCAAACCTGCTCTATGAAAGGGACTGTTCAACACTGTGACTTCAATTGAAACATCCCAATGACGCTTCTGAGAATGTTTCTGTCTAGAGTTTATATGAAGACAATCCCGTTTCCAACGAAATCCTCAAAGCTGTCCAAATATCCTCTTGCAGATATTACAAAAAGAGTGTTTCAAAACTGCTCTATCAAAAGAAAGCTTCAACACTGTTAGTTGAGGGCGCACATCACAAATAAGTTTCTGAGAATGCTTTCTGTCTAGTTTTCAGGGGAAGATATTTCCTTTTTCACCATAGGCCTGAAAGCGCTCCAAATGTCCACATCCAGATACTACAAAAAGAGTGTTTCAAACCTGCTCTATGAAAGGGAATGTTCAACTCTGTGACTTGAATGCAAACATCACAAACAAGATTCTGGGAATGCTGCTGTCTGCTTTTTATATGTAATCCCGTTTCCAACGAAATCCTCAAAGCTAGACAAATATCCACTTGCAGATTCCACAAAAAGAGTGTTTCAAAACTGCTCTCTCAAAAGAAAGGTTCAACCCTGTTAGCTGAGCAGATACATCATGAAAAAGTTTCTGACATTGCTTCTATCTAGCTTTTATTGGAAGATATTTCCTTTTTCACCGCAGTCCTGAGAGCGCTCCAAATGTCCACTTCCAGATACTACAAAAAGAGTGTTTCAAACCTGCTCTATGAAAGGGACTGTTCAACACTGTGACTTCAATTGAAACATCCCAATGAAGCTTCCTGAGAATGCTTCTGTCTAGAGTTTATATGAAGACAATCCCGTTTCCAACGAAATCCTCAAAGCTATCCAAATATCCTCTTGCAGATATTACAAAAAGAGTGTTTCAAAACTGCTCTATCAAAAGAAAGGTTCAACACTGTTAGTTGAGGGCGCACATCACAAATAAGTTTACTGAGAATGCTGCTGTCTGCTTTGTATAATTAATCCCGTTTCCAACGAAATCCTCAAAGCTATCCAAATATCCTCTTGCAGATATTACAAAAAGAGTGTTTCAAAACTGCTCTATCAAAAGAAAGCTTCAACACTGTTAGTTGAGGGCACACATCACAAATAAGTTTCTGAGAATGCTTCTGTCTAGTTTTCAGGGGAAGATATTTCCTTTTTCACCATAGGCCTGAAAGCGCTCCAAATGTCCACATCCGGATACTACAAAAAGAGTGTTTCAAACCTGCTCTATGAAAGGGACTGTTCAACACTGTGACTTCAATTGAAACATCCCAATGAAGCTTTCTGAGAATACTTCTGTCTAGAGTTTATATGAAGACAATCCCGTTTCCAACGAAATCCTCAAAGCTATCCAAATATCCTCTTGCAGATATTACAAAAAGAGTGTTTCAAAACTGCTCTATCAAAAGAAAGCTTCAAGACTGTTAGTTGAGGGCGCACATCACAATTAAGTTTCTGAGAATGCTTCTGTCTAGTTTTCAGGGGAAGATATTTCCTTTTTCACCATAGGCCTGAAAGCGCTCCAAATGTCCACATCCAGATACTACAAAAAGAGTGTTTCAAACCTGCTCTATGAAAGGGAATGTTCAAGTCTGTGACTTGAATGCAAACATCACACAGAAGTTTCTGGGAATGCTGCTGTCTGCTTTTTATATGTAATCCCGTTTCCAACGAAATCCTCAAAGCTAGACAAATATCCACTTGCAGATTCCACAAAAAGAGTGTTTCAAAACTGCTCTCTCAAAAGAAAGGTTCAACTCTGTTAGCTGAGTAGATACATCATGAAAATGTTTCCTGACATTGCTTCTATCTAGCTTTTATTGGAAGGTATTTCCTTTTTCACCGTAGTCCTGAGATCTCTCCAAATGTCCATTTCCAGATACTACAAAAAGAGTGTTTCAAACCTGCTCTATGAAAGGGACTGTTCAACACTGTGACTTCAATTGAAACATCCCAATGAAGCTTCTGAGAATGCTGCTGTCTGCTTTGTATAATTAATCCCGTTTCCAACGAAATCCTCAAAGCTATCCAAATATCCTCTTGCAGATATTACAAAAAGAGTGTTTCAAAACTGCTCTATCAAAAGAAAGCTTCAACACTGTTAGTTGAGGGCGCACATCACAAATAAGTTTCTGAGAATGCTGCTGTCTGCTTTTTATAATTAATCCCGTTTCCAACGAAATCCTCAAAGCTATCCAAATATCCTCTTGCAGATATTACAAAAAGAGTGTTTCAAAACTGCTCTATCAAAAGAAAGCTTCAACACTGTTAGTTGAGGGCGCACATCACAAATAAGTTTCTGAGAATGCTTCTGTCTAGTTTTCAGGGGAAGATATTTCCTTTTAAACCATAGGCCTGAAAGCGCTCCAAATGTCCACATCCAGATACTACAAAAAGAGTGTTTCAAACCTGCTCTATGAAAGGGACTGTTCAACACTGTAACTTCAATTGAAACATCCCAATGAAGCTTCTGAGAATGCTTCTGTCTAGATTTTATATGAAGACAATCCCGTTTCCAACGAAATCCTCAAATCTATCCAAATATCCTCTTGCAGATTTTACAAAAAGAGTGTTTCAAAACTGCTCTATCAAAAGAAAAGTTCAACACTGTTAGTTGAGGGCGCACATCACAAATAAGTTTCTGAGAATGCTTCTGTCTAGTTTTCAGGGGAAGATATTTCCTTTTTCACCATAGGCTTGAAAGCGCTCCAAATGTCCACATCCAGATACTACAAAAAGAGTGTTTCAAACCTGCTCTATGAAAGGGAATTTTCAACTCTGTGACTTGAATGCAAACATCACAACGAAGTTTACTGGGAATGCTGCTGTTTGCTTTTTATATGTAATCCCGTTTCCAACGAAATCCTCAAAGCTAGACAAATATCCACTTCCAGATTCCACAAAAAGAGTGTTTCAAAACTGCTCTCTCAAAAGAAAGGTTCAACTCTGTTAGCTGAGTAGATACATCATGAAAAAGTTTCTGACATTGCTTCTATGTAGCTTTTATTGGAAGATATTTCCTTTTTCACCATAGTCCTGAGAGCGCTCCAAATGTCCACTTCCAGATACTACAAAAAGAGTGTTTCAAACCTGTTCTATGAAAGGAACTGTTCAACCCTGTGACTTCAATTGAAACATCCCAATGAAGCTTCTGAGAATGCTTCTGTCTAGAGTTTATATGAAGACAATCCCGTTTCCAACGAAATCCTCAAAGCTATCCAAATATCCTCTTGCAGATATTACAAAAAGAGTGTTTCAAAACTGCTCTATCAAAAGAAAGGTTCAACACTGTTAGTTGAGGGCGCACATCACAAATAAGTTTACTGAGAATGCTGCTGTCTGCTTTTTATATGTAATCCCGTTTCCAACGAAATCCTCAAAGCTAGACAAATATCCACTTGCAGATTCCACAAAAAGAGTGTTTCAAAACTGCTCTATCAAAAGAAAGCTTCAACACTGTTAGTTGAGGGCGCACATCACAAATAAGTTTCTGAGAATGCTTCTGTCTAGTTTTCAGGGGAAGATATTTCCTTTTTCACCATAGGCCTGAAAGCGCTCGAAATGTCCACATCCAGATACTACAAAAAGAGTGTTTCAAACCTGCTCTATGAAAGGGACTGTTCAACACTGTGACTTCAATTGAAACATCCCAATGAAGCTTCTGAGAATGCTTCTGTCTAGATTTTATATGAAGACAATCCCGTTTCCAACGAAATCCTCAAAGCTATCCAAATATCCTCTTGCAGATTTTACAAAAAGAGTGTTTCAAAACTACTCTATCAAAAGAAAGGTTTAACACTGTTAGTTGAGGGCGCACATCACAAATAAGTTTCTGAGAATGCTTCTGTCTAGTTTTCAGGGGAAGATATTTCCTTTTTCACCATAGGCCTGAAAGCGCTCCAAATGTCCACATCCAGATACTACAAAAAGAGTGTTTCAAAACTGCTCTATGAAAGGGAATGTTCAACTCTGTGACTTGAATGCAAACATCACAAAGAAGTTACTGGGAATGCTGCTGTCTGCTTTTTATATGTAATCACGTTTCCAACGAAATCCTCAAAGCTAGACAAATATCCACTTGCAGATTCCACAAAAAGAGTGTTTCAAAACTGCTCTCTCAAAAGAAAGGTTCAACTCTGTTAGCTGAGTAGATACATCATGAAAAAGTTTCTGACATTGCTTCTATCTAGCTTTTATTGGAAGATATTTCCTTTATCACCGTATTCCTGAGATCTCTCCAAATGTCCACTTCCAGATACTACAAAAAGAGTGTTTCAAACCTGCTCTATGAAAGGGACTGTTCAACACTGTGACTTCAATTGAAACATCCCAATGAAGCTTCTGAGAATGCTTCTGTCTAGAGTTTATATGAAGACAATCCCGTTTCCAACGAAATCCTCAAAGCTATCCAAATATCCTCTTGCAGATTTTAAAAAAAGAGTGTTTCAAAACTGCTCTATCAAAAGAAAGCTTCAAGACTGTTAGTTGAGGGCGCACATCACAAATAAGATTCTGAGAATTCTGCTGTCTGCTTTTTATATGTAATCCCGTTTCAAACGAAATTCTCAAAGCTAGACAAATATCCACTTGCAGATTCCACAAAAAGAGTGTTTCAAAACTGCTCTATCAAAAGAAAGCTTCAACACTGTTAGTTGAGGGAGCACATCACAAATAAGTTTCTGAGAATGCTTCTGTCTAGTTTTCAGGGGAAGATATTTCCTTTTAAACCATAGGCCTGAAAGCGCTCCAAATGTCCACATCCAGATACTACAAAAAGAGTGTTTCAAACCTGCTCTATGAAAGGGACTGTTCAACACTGTGACTTCAATTGAAACATCCCAATGACGCTTCTGAGAATGCTTCTGTCTAGAGTTTATATGAAGACAATCCCGTTTCCAACGAAATCCTCAAAGCTATCCAAATATCCTCTTGCAGATATTACAAAAAGAGTGTTTCAAAACTGCTCTATCAAAAGAAAGCTTCAACACTGTTAGTTGAGGGCGCACATCACAAATAAGTTTCTGAGAATGCTTCTGTCTAGTTTTCAGGGGAAGATATTTCCTTTTTCACCATAGGCCTGAAAGCGCTCCAAATGTCCACATCCAGATACTACAAAAAGAGTGTTTCAAACCTGCTCTATGAAACGGACTGTTCAAGTCTGTGACTTCAATGCAAATATCACAAAGAAGTTTCTGGGAATGCTGCTGTCTGCTTTTTATATGTAATCCCGTTTCCAACGAAATCCTCAAACCTAGACAAATATCCACTTGCAGATTCCACAAAAATAGTGTTTCAAAACTGCTCTCACAAAAGAAAGGTTCAACTCTTTTAGCTGAGTAGATACATCATGAAAAAGTTTCTGACATTGCTTCTATCTAGCTTTATTTGGAAGTATATTTCCTTTTTCACCATAGTCCTGAAAACGCTCCAAATGTCAACTTCCAGATACTACAAAAAGAGTGTTTCAAACATGCTCTATGAAAGGGACTGTTCAACACTGTGACTTCAATTGAATCATCCCAATGAAGCTTCTGAGAATGCTTCTGTCTAGATTTTATATGAAGACAATCCCGTTTCAAACGAAATCCTCAAAGCTATCCAAATATCCTCTTGCAGATTTTACAAAAAGAGTGTTTCAAAACTGCTCTATCAAAAGAAAGTTTCAACACTGTTAGTTGAGGGCGCACATCACAAATAAGTTTCTGAGACTACTGCTGTCTGCTTTTTATATGTAATCCCGTTTCCAACGAAATCCTCAAAGCTAGACAAATATCCACTTGCAGATTCCACAAAAAGAGTGTTTCAAAACTGCTCTATCAAAAGAAAGCTTCAACACTGTTAGTTGAGGGCGCACATCACAAATAAGTTTCTGAGAATGCTTCTGTCTAGTTTTCAGGGGAAGATATTTCCTTTTTCACCATAGGCCTAAAAGCGCTCCAAATGTCCACATCCAGATACTACAAAAAGAGTGTTTCAAACCTGCTCTATGAAAGGGACTGTTCAACACTGTGACTTCAATTGAAACATCCCAATGAAGCTTCTGAGAATGCTTCTGTCTAGAGTTTATATGAAGACAATCCCGTTTCCAACGAAATCCTCAAAGCTATCCAAATATCCTCTTGCAGATTTTACAAAAAGAGTGTTTCAAAACTGCTCTATCAAAAGAAAGCTTCAACACTGTTAGTTGAGGGCGCACATCACAAATAAGATTCTGAGAATGCTTCTGTCTAGTTTTCAGGAGAAGATATTTCCTTTTTCACCATAGGCCTGAAAGCGCTCCAAATGTTCACATCCAGATACTATAAAAAGAGTGTTTCAAACCTGCTCTGTGAAAGGGAATGTTCAACTCTGTGACTTGAATGCAAACATCACAAACAAGATTCTGGGAATGCTGCTGTCTGCTTTTTATATGTAATCCCGTTTCCAACGAAATCCTCAAAGCTAGACAAATATCCACTTGCAGATTCCACAAAAAGAGTGTTTCAAAACTGCTCTCTCAAAGGAAAGGTTCAACTCTGTTAGCTGAGTAGATACATCATGAAAAAGTTTCTGACATTGCTTCTATGTAGCTTTTATTGGAAGATATTTCCTTTTTCACCATAGTCCTGAGAGCGCTCCAAATGTCCACTTCCAGATACTACAAAAAGAGTGTTTCAAACCTGTTCTATGAAAGGAACTGTTCAACACTGTGACTTCAATTGAAACATCCCAATGAAGCTTCTGAGAATGCTTCTGTCTAGAGTTTATATGAAGACAATCCCGTTTCCAACGAAATCCTCAAAGCTATCCAAATATCCTCTTGCAGATATTACAAAAAGAGTGTTTCAAAACTGCTCTATCAAAAGAAAGGTTCAACACTGTTAGTTGAGGGCGCACATCACAAATAAGTTTCTGAGAATGCTTTTGTCTAGTTTTCAGGGGAAGATATTTCCTTTTTCACCATAGGCCTGAAAGCGCTCCAAATGTCCACATACAGATACTACAAAAAGAGTGTTTCAAACCTGCTCTATGAAAGGGAATGTTCAACTGTGTGACTTGAATGCAAACATCTCAAAGAAGTTTCCGGGAATGCTGCTGTCTGCTTTTTATATGTAATACCGTTTCCAACGAAATCCTCAAAGCTAGACAAATATCCACTTGCAGATTCCACAAAAAGAGTGTTTCAAAACTGCTCTCTCAAAGGAAGGTTCAACTCTGTTAGCTGAGTAGATACATCATTGAAAAAGTTTCTGACATTGCTTCTATCTAGCTTTTATTGGAAGATATTTCCTTTATCACCGTATTCCTGAGATCTCTCAAAATGTCCACTTCCAGATACTACAAAGAGAGTGTTTCAAACCTGCTCTATGAAAGGGACTGTTCAACACTGTGACTTCAATTGAAACATCCCAATGAAGCTTCTGAGAATGGTTCTGTCTAGAGTTTATATGAAGACAATCCCGTTTCCAACGAAATCCTCAAAGCTATCCAAATATCCTCTTGCAGATATTACAAAAAGAGTGTTTCAAAACTGCTCTATCAAAAGAAAGGTTCAACACTGTTAGTTGAGGGCGCACATCACAAATAAGTTTACTGAGAATGCTGCTGTCTGCTTTTTATATGTAATCCCGTTTCCAACGAAATCCTCAAAGCTATCCAAATATCCTCTTGCAGATATTACAAAAAGAGTGTTTCAAAACTGCTCTATCAAAAGAAAGGTTCAACACTGTTAGTTGAGGGCGCACATCACAAATAAGTTTCTGAGAATGCTTCTATCTAGCTTTTATTGGTAGATATTTCCTTTTTCACCGTAGTCCTGAGAACGCTCCAAATGTCCACTTCCAGATACTACAAAAAGAGTGTTTCAAACCTGCTCTATGAAAGGGACTGTTCAACACTGTGACTTCAATTGAAACATCCCAATGAAGCTTCTGAGAATGCTTCTGTCTAGATTCTATATGAAGACAATCCCGTTTCCAACGAAATCCTCAAAGCTATCCAAATATCCTCTTGCAGATTTTACAAAAAGAGTGTTTCAAAACTGCTCTATCAAAAGAAAGGTTCAACACTGTTAGTTGAGGGCGCACATCACAAATAAGATTCTGAGAATGCTTCTGTCTAGTTTTCAGGGGAAGATATTTCCTTTTTCACCATAGGCCTGAAAGCGCTCCAAATGTCCACATCCAGATACTACAAAAAGAGTGTTTCAAACCTCCTCTATGAAAGGGAATGTTCAAGTCTGTGACTTGAATGCAAATTTCACAAAGAACTTTCTGGGAATGCTGCTGTCTGCTTTTTATATGTAATCCCGTTTCCAACGAAATCCACAAAGCTAGACAAATATCCACTTGCAGATTCCACAAAAAGAGTGTTTCAAAACTGATCTCTCAAAAGAAAGGTTCAACTCTGTTAGCTGAGTAGATACATCATGAAAAAGTTTCTGACATTGCTTCTATCTAGCTTTTATTGGAAGATACTTCCTTTTTCACCGTAGTCCTGAGAGCGCTCCAAATGTCCACTTCCAGATACTACAAAGAGTGTTTCAAACCTGCTCTATGAAAGGGACTGTTCAACACTGTGACTTCAATTGAAACATCCCAATGAAGCTTCTGAGAATGATTCTGTCTAGAGTTTATATGAAGACAATCCCGTTTCCAACGAAATCCTCAAAGCTATCCAAATATCCTCTTGCAGATTTTACGAAAAGAGTGTTTCAAAACTGCTCTATCAAAAGAAAGTTTCAACACTGTTAGTTGAGGGCGCACATCACAAATAAGATTCTGAGAATGCTTCTGTCTAGTTTTCAGGGGAAGATATTTCCTTTTTCACCATAGGCCTGAAAGCGCTCCAAATGTCCACATCCAGATACTATAAAAAGAGTGTTTCAAACCTGCTCTACGAAAGGGAATGTTCAACTCTGTGACTTGAATGCAAACATCACAAAGAAGTTTCTGGGAATGCTGCTGTCTGCTTTTTATATGTAATCCCGTTTCCAACGAAATCCTCAAAGCTAGACAAATATCCACTTCCAGATTCCACAAAAAGAGTGTTTCAAAACTGCTCTCTCAAAAGAAAGGTTCAACTCTGTTAGCTGAGTAGATACATCATGAAAAAGTTTCTCACATTGCTTCTATGTAGCTTTTATTGGAAGATATTTCCTTTTTCACCATAGGCCTGAAAGCGCTCCAAATGTCCACATCCAGATACTACAAAAAAAGTGTTTCAAACCTGCTCTGTGGAAGGGAATGTTCAACTCTGTGACTTGAATGGAAACATCACAAAGAAGTTACTGGGAATGCTGCTGTCTGCTTTTTATATGTAATCCCGTTTCCAACGAAATCCTCAAAGCTAGACAAATATCCACTTGCAGATTCCACAAAAAGAGTGTTTCAAAACTGCTCTCTCAAAAGAAAGGTTCAACTCTGTTAGCTGAGTAGATACATCATGAAAAAGTTTCTGACATTGCTTCTATCTAGCTTTTATTGGAAGATATTTCCTTTATCACCGTATTCCTGAGATCTCTCCAAATGTCCAGTTCCAGATACTACAAAAAGAGTGTTTCAAACCTGCTCTATGAAAGGGACTGTTCAACACTGTGACTTTAATTGAAACATCCCAATGAAGCTTCTGAGAATGCTTCTGTCTAGAGTTTATATGAAGACAATCCCGTTTCCAACGAAATCCTCAAAGCTATCCAAATATCCTCTTGCAGATTTTACAAAAAGAGTGTTTCAAAACTGCTCTATCAAAAGAAAGCTTCAACACTGTTAGTTGAGGGCGCACATCACAAATAAGTTTCTGAGAATGCTTCTGTCTAGTTTTCAGGGGAAGATATTTCCTTTTTCACCATAGGCCTGAAAGCGCTCCAAATGTCCACATCCAGATACTACAAAAAGAGTGTTTCAAACCTGCTCTATGAAAGGGACTGTTCAACACTGTGACTTCAATTGAAACATCCCAATGAAGCTTCTGAGAATGCTTCTGTGTAGAGTTTATATGAAGACAATCCCGTTTCCAACGAAATCCTCAAAGCTATCCAAATATCCTCTTGCAGATTTTACAAAAAGAGTGTTTCAAAACTGCTCTATCAAAAGAAAGCTTCAACACTGTTAGTTGAGGGCGCACATCACAAATAAGATTCTGAGAATTCTTCTGTCTAGTTTTCAGGGGAAGATATTTCCTTTTTCACCATAGGCCTGAAAGCGCTCCAAATGTCCACATCCGGATACTACAAAAAGAGTGTTTCAAACCTGCTCTATGAAAGGGAATGTTCAACTCTGTGACTTGAATGCAAACATCACAAAGAAGTTTCTGGGAATGCTGCTGTCTGCTTTGTATATGTAATCCCGTTTCCAACGAAATCCTCAAAGCTAGACAAATATCCACTTGCAGATTCCACAAAAAGAGTGTTTCAAAACTGCTCTCTCAAAAGAAAGGTTCAACTCTGTTAGCTGAGTAGATACATCATGAAAAAGTTTCTGACATTGCTTCTATCTAGCTTTATTTGGAAGATATTTCCTTTTTCACCGTAGTCCTGAAAACGCTCCAAATGTCAACTTCCAGATACTACAAAAAGAGTGTTTCAAACATGATCTATGAAAGGGACTGTTCAACACTGTGACTTCAATTGAAACATCCGAATGAAGCTTCTGAGAATGCTGCTGTCTGCTTTGTATAATTAATCCCGTTTCCAACGAAATCCTCAAAGCTATCCAAATATCCTCTTGCAGATATTACAAAAAGAGTGTTTCAAAACTGCTCTATCAAAAGAAAGCTTCAACACTGTTAGTTGAGGGCGCACATCACAAATAAGTTTCTGAGAATGCTGCTGTCTGCTTTTTATATGTAATACCTTTTCCAACGAAATCCTCAAAGCTAGACAAATATCCACTTGCAGATTCCACAAAAAGAGTGTTTCAATACTGCTCTATCAAAAGAATGCTTCAACACTGTTAGTTGAGGGCGCACATCACAAATAAGTTTCTGAGAATGCTTCTGTCTAGTTTTCAGGGGAAGATATTTCCTTTTAAACCATAGGCCTGAAAGCGCTCCAAATGTCCACATCCAGATACTACAAAAAGAGTGTTTCAAACCTGCTCTATGAAAGGGACTGTTCAACACTGTGACTTCAATTGAAACATCCCAATGACGCTTCTGAGAATGCTTCTGTCTACAGTTTATATGAAGACAATCCCGTTTCCAACGAAATCCTCAAAGCTATCCAAATATCCTCTTGCAGATTTTACAAAAAGAGTGTTTCAAAACTGCTCTATCAAAAGAAAGCTTCAACACTGTTAGTTGAGGGCGCACATCACAAATAAGATTCTGAGAATTCTTCTGTCTAGTTTTCAGGGGAAGATATTTCCTTTTTCACCATAGGCCTGAAAGCGCTCCAAATGTCCACATAGAGATACTACAAAAAGAGTGTTTCAAACCTGCTCTATGAAAGGGAATGTTCAACTCTGTGACTTGAATGCAAACATCACAAAGAAGTTTCTGGGAATGCTGCTGTCTGCTTTTTATATGTAATCCCGTTTCCAACGAAATCCTCAAAGCTAGACAAATATCCACTTGCATATTCCACAAAAAGAGTGTTTCAAAACTGCTCTCTCAAAAGAAAGGTTCAACTCTGTTAGCTGAGTAGATACATCATGAAAAAGTTTCTGAGATTGCTTCTATCTAGCTTTTATTGGAAGATATTTCCTTTATCACCGTATTCCTGAGATCTCTCCAAATGTCCACTTCCAGATACTACAAAAAGAGTGTTTCAAACCTGCTCTATGAAAGGGACTGTTCAACACTGTGACTTCAATTGAAACATCCCAATGAAGCTTCTGAGAATGCTTCTGTCTAGAGTTTATATGAAGACAATCCCGTTTCCAACGAAATCCTCAAAGCTATCCAAATATCCTCTTGCAGATTTTACAAAAAGAGTGTTTCAAAACTGCTCTATCAAAAGAAAGCTTCAACACTGTTAGTTGAGGGCGCACATCACAAATAAGATTCTGAGAATGCTTCTGTCTAGTTTTCAGGGGAAGATATTTCCTTTTTCACCATAGGCCTGAAAGCGCTCCAAATGTCCACATCCAGATACTACAAAAAGAGTGTTTCAAACCTGCTCTATGAAAGGGAATGTTCAACTCTGTGACTTGAATGCAAACACCACGAAGAAGTTACTGGGAATGCTGCTGTCTGCTTTTTATATGTAATCCCGTTTCCAACGAAATCCTCAAAGCTAGACAAATAAACACTTGCAGATTCCACAAAAAGAGTGTTTCAAAACTGCTCTCTCAAAAGAAAGGTTCAACTCTGTTAGCTGAGTAGATACATCATGAAAAAGTTTCTGACATTGCTTCTATCTAGCTTTTATTGGAAGATATTTCCTTTTTCACCGTAGTCCTGAGAGCGCTCCAAATGTCCACTTCCAGATACTACAAAAAGAGTGTTTCAAACCTGCTCTATGAAAGGGACTGTTCAACACTGTGACTTCAATTGAAACATCCCAATGAAGCTTCTGAGAATGCTGCTGTCTGCTTTGTATAATTAATCCCGTTTCCAACGAAATCCTCAAAGCTATCCAAATATCCTCTTGCAGATATTACAAAAAGAGTGTTTCAAAACTGCTCTATCAAAAGAAAGCTTCAACACTGTTAGTTGAGGGCGCACATCACAAATAAGTTTCTGAGAATGCTGCTGTCTGCTTTTTATATGTAATCCCGTTTCCAACGAAATCCTCAAAGCTAGACAAATATCCACTTGCAGATTCCACAAAAAGAGTGTTTCAAAACTGCTCTATCAAAAGTAAGCTTCAACACTGTTAGTTGAGGGCGCACATCACAAATAAGATTCTGAGAATGCTTCTGTCTAGTTTTCAGGGGAAGATATTTCCTTTTTCACCGTAGGCCTGAAAGCGCTCCAAATGTCCACATCCAGATACTACAAAAAGAGTGTTTCAAACCTGCTCTATGAAAGGGACTGTTCAACACTGTGACTTCAATTGAAACATCCCAATGAAGCTTCTGAGAATGCTTCTGTCTAGAGTTTATATGAAGACAATCCCGTTTCCAATGAAATCCTCAAAGCTATCGAAATATCCTCTTGCAGATTTTACAAAAAGAGTGTTTCAAAACTGCTCTATCAAAAGAAAGTTTCAACACTGTTAGTTGAGGGCGCACATCACAAATAAGATTCTGAGAATGCTTCTGTCTAGTTTTCAGGGGAAGATATTTCCTTTTTCACCATAGGCCTGAAAGCGCTCCAAATGTCCACATACAGATACTACAAAAAGAGTGTTTCAAACCTGCTCTATGAAAGGGAATGTTCAACTCTGTGACTTGAATGCAAACATCACAAAGAAGTTTCTGGGAATGCTGCTGTCTGCTTTTTATATGTAATCCCGTTTCCAACGAAATCCTCAAAGCTAGACAAATATCCACTTGCAGATTCCACAAAAAGAGTGTTTCAAAACTGCTCTCTCAAAAGAAAGGTTCAACTCTGTTAGCTGAGTAGATACATCATGAAAAAGTTTCTGACATTGCTTCTATCTAGCTTTTATTGGAAGATATTTCCTTTTTCACCGTAGTCCTGAGAGCGCTCCAAATGTCCACGTCCAGATACTACAAAAAGAGTGTTTCAAACCTGCTCTATGAAAGGGACTGTTCAACACTGTGACTTCAATTGAAACATCCCAATGAAGCTTCTGAGAATGCTTCTGTCTAGTTTTCAGGGGAAGATATTTCCTTTTTCACCATAGACCTGAAAGCGCTCCAAATGTCCACATACAGATACTACAAAAAGAGTGTTTCAAACCTGCTCTATGAAAGGGAATGTTCAACTCTGTGACTTTAATGCAAACATCACAAAGAAGTTTCTGGGAATGCTGCTGTCTGCTTTTTATATGTAATCCCGATAACAACGAAATCCTCAAAGCTAGACAAATATCCACTTGCAGATTCCACAAAAAGAGTGTTTCAAAACTGCTCTATCAAAAGAATGCTTCAACACTGTTAGTTGAGGGCGCACATCACAAATAAGTTTCTGAGAATGCTTCTGTCTAGTTTTCAGGGGAAGATATTTCCTTTTAAACCGTAGGCCTGAAAGCGCTCCAAATGTCCACATCCAGATACTACAAAAAGAGTGTTTCAAACCTGCTCTATGAAAGGGACTGTTCAACACTGTGACTTCAATTGAAACATCCCAATGAAGCTTCTGAGAATGCTTCTGTCTAGAGTTTATATGAAGACAATCCCGTTTCCAACGAAATCCTCAAAGCTATCCAAATATCCTCTTGCAGATATTACAAAAAGAGTGTTTCAAAACTGCTCTATCAAAAGAAAGCTTCAACACTGTTAGTTGAGGGCGCACATCACAAATAAGTTTCTGAGAATGCTTCTGTCTAGTTTTCAGGGGAAGATATTTCCTTTTTTACCATAGGCCTGAAAGCGCTCCAAATGTCCACATCCAGATACTACAAAAAGAGTGTTTCAAACCTGCTGTATGAAAGGGAATGTTCAACTCTGTGACTTGAATGCAAACATCACAAAGAAGTTACTGGGAATGCTGCTGTCTGCTTTTTATATGTAATCCCGTTTCCAACGAAATCCTCAAAGCTAGACAAATATCCACTTGCAGATTCCACAAAAAGAGTGTTTCAAAACTGCTCTCTCAAAAGAAAGGTTCAACTCTGTTAGCTGAGTAGATACATCATGAAAAAGTTTCTGACATTGCTTCTATGTAGCTTTTATTGGAAGATATTTCCTTTTTCACCGTAGTCCTGAGAGCGCACCAAATGTCCAGTTCCAGATACTACAAAAAGAGTGTTTCAAACCTGCTCTATGAAAGGGACTGTTCAACACTGTGACTTCAATTGAAACATCCCAATGAAGCTTCTGAGAATGCTTCTGTCTAGAGTTTATATGAAGACAATCCCGTTTCCAACGAAATCCTCAAAGCTATCCAAATATCCTCTTGCAGATTTTACAAAAAGAGTGTTTCAAAGCTGCTCTATCAAAAGAAAGCTTCAACACTGTTAGTTGAGGGCGCACAACACAAATAAGATTCTGAGAATGCTGCTGTCTGCTTTTTATATGTAATCCCGTTTCCAACGAAATCCTCAAAGCTAGACAAATATCCACTTGCAGATTCCACAAAAAGAGTGTTTCAAAACTGCTCTATCAAAAGAATGCTTCAACACTCTTAGTTGAGGGCGCACATCACAAATAAGTTTCTGAGAATGCTTCTGTCTAGTTTTCAGAGGAAGATATTTCCTTTTTCACCATAGGCCTGAAAGCGCTCCAAATGTCCACATCCAGATACTACAAAAAGAGTGTTTCAAACCTGCTCTATGAAAGGGACTGTTCAACACTGTGACTTCAATTGAAACATCCCAATGAGGCTTCTGAGAATGCTTCTGTCTAGAGTTTATATGAAGACAATCCCGTTTCCAACGAAATCCTCAAAGCTATCCAAATATCCTCTTGCAGATTTTACAAAAAGTGTGTTTCAAAACTGCTCTATCAAAAGAAAGCTTCAACACTGTTAGTTGAGGGCGCACATCACAAATAAGATTCTGAGAATGCTTCTGTCTAGTTTTCAGGGGAAGATATTTCCTTTTTCACCATAGGCCTGACAGCGCTCCAAATGTCCACATCCAGATACTACAAAAAGAGTGTTTCAAACCTGCTCTATGAAAGGGAATGTTCAACTCTGTGACTTGAATGCAAACATCACAAAGAAGTTTCTGGGAATGCTGCTGTCTGCTTTTTATATGTAATCCCGTTTCCAACGAAATCCTCAAAGCTAGACAAATATCCACCTGCAGATCCAACAAAAAGAGTGTTTCAAAACTGCTCTCTCAAAAAAAAGGTTCAACTCTGTTAGCTGAGTAGATACATCATGAAAAAGTTTCTGACATTGCTCTATCTAGCTTTTATTGGAAGATATTTCCTTTTTCACCGCAGTCCTGAGAGCGCTCCAAATGTCCACTTCCAGATACTACAAAAAGAGTGTTTCAAACCTGCTCTATGAAAGGGACTGTTCAACACTGTGACTTTAATTGAAACATCCCAATGAAGCTTCTGAGAATGCTCGCTGTCTGCTTTGTATAATTAATCCCGTTTCCAACGAAATCCTCAAAGCTATCCAAATATCCTCTTGCAGATATTACAAAAAGAGTGTTTCAAAACTGCTCTATCAAAAGAAAGCTTCAACACTGTTAGTTGAGGGCGCACATCACAAATAAGTTTCTGAGAATGCTGCTGTCTGCTTTTTATATGTAATCCCGTTTCCAACGAAATCCTCAAAGCTAGACAAATATCCACTTGCAGATTCCACAAAAAGAGTGTTTCAAAACTGCTCTATCAAAAGAAAGGTTCAACACTGTTAGTTGAGGGCGCACATCACAAATAAGTTTCTGAGAATGCTTCTGTCTAGTTTTCAGGGGAAGATATTTCCTTTTTCACCATAGGCCTGAAAGCGCTCCAAATGTCCACATACAGATACTACAAAAAGAGTGTTTCAAACCTGCTCTATGAAAGGGACTGTTCAACACTGTGACTTCAATTGAAACATCCCAATGAAGCTTCTGAGAATGCCACTGTCTAGGGTTAATATGAAGACAATCCCGTTTCCAACGAAATCCTCAAAGCTATCCAAATATCCTCTTGCAGATTTTACAAAAAGAATGTTTCAAAACTGCTCTATCAAAAGAAAGCTTCAACACTGTTAGTTGAGGGCGCACATCACAAATAAGTTTCTGAGACTACTTCTGTCTAGTTTTCAGGAGAAGATATTTCCTTTTTCACCATAGGCCTGAAAGCGCTCCAAATGTCCACATCCAGATACTATAAAAAGAGTGTTTCAAACCTGCTCTCTGAAAGGGAATGTTCAACTCTGTGACTTGAATGCAAACATCACAAACAAGATTCTGGGAATGCTGCTGTCTGCTTTTTATATGTAATCCCGTTTCCAACGAAATCCTCAAAGCTAGACAAATATCCACTTGCAGATTCCACAAAAAGAGTGTTTCAAAACTGCTCTCTCAAAGGAAAGGTTCAACTCTGTTAGCTGAGTAGATACATCATGAAAAAGTTTCTGACATTGCTTCTATCTAGCTTTTATTGGAAGATATTTCCTTTTTCACCATAGTCCTGAGAGCGCTCCAAATGTCCACTTCCAGATACTACAAAAAGAGTGTTTCAAACCTGTTCTATGAAAGGAACTGTTCAACACTGTGACTTCAATTGAAACATCCCAATGAAGCTTCTGAGAATGCTGCTGTCTGCTTTGTATAATTAATCCCGTTTCCAACGAAATCCTCAAAGCTATCCAAATATCCTCTTGCAGATATTACAAAAAGAGTGTTTCAAAACTGCTCTATCAAAAGAAAGCTTCAACACTGTTAGTTGAGGGCGCACATCACAAATAAGTTTCTGAGAATGCTGCTGTCTGCTTTTTATATGTAATCCCGTTTCCAACGAAATCCTCAAAGCTAGACAAATATCCACTTGCAGATTCCACAAAAAGAGTGTTTCAAAACTGCTCTATCAAAAGAAAGCTTCAACACTGTTAGTTGAGGGCGCACATCACAAATAAGTTTCTGAGAATGCTTCTGTCTAGTTTTCAGGGGAAGATATTTCCTTTTAAACCATAGGCCTGAAAGCGCTCCAAATGTCCACATCCAGATACTACAAAAAGAGTGTTTCAAACCTGCTCTATGAAAGGGACTGTTCAACACTGCAACTTCAATTGAAACATCCCAATGAAGCTTCTGAGAATGCTTCTGTCTAGATTCTATATGAAGACAATCCCGTTTCCAACGAAATCCTCAAAGCTATCCAAATATCCTCTTGCAGATTTTACAAAAAGAGTGTTTCAAAACTGCTCTATCAAAAGAAAGGTTCAACACTGTTAGTTGAGGGCGCACATCACAAATAAGTTTCTGAGAATGCTTCTTTCTAGTTTTCAGGGGAAGATATTTCCTTTTTCACCGTAGGCCTGAAAGCGCTCCAAATGTCCACATCCAGATACTACAAAAAGAGTGTTTCAAACCTGTTCTATGAAAGGGAATGTTCAAGTCTCTGACTTGAATGCAAATTTCACAAAGAACTTTCTGGGAATGCTGCTGTCTGCTTTTTATATGTAATCCCGTTTCCAACGAAATCCTCAAAGCTAGACAAATATCCACTTGCAGATTCCACAAAACGAGTGTTTCAAAACTGCTCTCTCAAATGAAGGTTCAACTTTGTTAGCTGAGTAGATACATCATGAAAAAGTTTCTGACATTGCTTCTATCTAGCTTTTATTGGAAGATATTTCCTTTATCACCGTATTCCTGAGATCTCTACAAATGTCCACTTCCAGATACTACAAAAAGAGTGTTTCAAACCTGCTCTATGAAAGGGACTGTTCAACACTGTGACTTCAATTGAAACATCCCAATGAAGCTTCTGAGAATGCTTCTGTCTAGATTCTATATGAAGACAATCCCGTTTCCAACGAAATCCTCAAAGCTATCCAAATATCCTCTTGCAGATTTTACAAAAAGAGTGTTTCAAAACTGCTCTATCAAAAGAAAAGTTCCACACTGTTAGTTGAGGGCGCACATCACAAATAAGTTTGCTGAGAATGCTGCTGTCTGCTTTTTATATGTAATCCCGTTTCCAACGAAATCCTTAAAGCTAGACAAATATCCACTTGCAGATTCCACAAAAAGAGTGTTTCAAAACTGCTCTATCGAAAGAAAGCTTCAACACTGTTAGTTGAGGGCGCACATCACAAATAAGTTTCTGAGAATGCTTCTGTCTAGTTTTCAGGGGAAGATATTTCCTTTTAAACCATAGGCCTGAAAGCGCTCCAAATGTCCACATCCAGATACTACAAAAAGAGTGTTTGAAACCTGCTTTATGAAAGGGACTGTTCAACACTGTGACTTCAATTGAAACATCCCAATGAAGCTTCTGAGAATGCTTCTGTCTACATTTAATATGAAGACAATCCCGTTTCCAAAGAAATCCTCAAATCTATCCAAATATCCTCTTGCAGATTTTACAAAAAGAGTGTTTCAAAACTGCTCTATCAAAAGAAAGGTTCAACACTGTTAGTTGAGGGCGCACATCACAAATAAGTTTCTGAGAATGCTTCTGTCTAGTTTTCAGTGGAAGATATTTCCTTTTTCACCATAGGCCTGAAAGCGCTCCAAATGTCCACATCCAGATACTACAAAAAGAGTGTTTCATACCTGCTCTATGAAAGGGAATGTTCAAGTCTGTGACTTGAATGCAAATATCACAAAGAAGTTTCTGGGAATGCTGCTGTCTGCTTTTTATATGTAATCCCGTTTCCAACGAAATCCTCAAAGCTAGACAAATATCCACTTGCAGATTCCACAAAAAGAGTGTTTCAAAACTGCTCTCTCAAAGGAAAGGTTCAACTCTGTTAGCTGAGTAGATACATCATGAAAAAGTTTCTGACATTGCTTCTATGTAGCTTTTATTGGAAGATATTTCCTTTTTCACCGTAGTCCTGAGATTTCTCCAAATGTCCACTTCCAGATACTACAAAAAGAGTGTTTCAAACCTGCTCTATTAAAGGGACTGTTCAACACTGTGACTTCAATTGAAACATCCCAATGAAGCTTCTGAGAATGCTTCTGTCTAGAGTTTATATGAAGACAATCCCGTTTCCAATGAAATCCTCAAAGCTATCCAAATATCCTCTTGCAGATTTTACAAAAAGAGTGTTTCAAAACTGCTCTATCAAAAGAAAGCTTCAACACTGTTAGTTGAGGGCGCACATCACAAATAAGATTCTGAGAATGCTTCTGTCTAGTTTTCAGGAGAAGATATTTCCTTTTTCACCACAGGCCTGAAAGCGCTCCAAATGTCCACATCCAGATACTACAAAAAGAGTGTTTCAAACCTGCTCTATGAAAGGCAATGTTCAACTCTGTGACTTGAATGCAAACATCACAAAGAAGTTACTGGGAATGCTGCTGTCTGCTTTTTATATGTAATCCCGTTTCCAACGAAATCCTCAAAGCTAGACAAATATCCACTTGCAGATTCCACAAAAAGAGTGTTTCAAAACTGCTCTCTCAAAGGAAAGGTTCAACTCTGTTAGCTGAGTAGATACATCATGAAAAAGTTTCTGACATTGCTTCTATGTAGCTTTTATTGGAAGATATTTCCATTTTCACCGTAGTCCTGAGAGCGCTCCAAATGTCCACTTCCAGATACTACAAAAAGAGTGTTTCAAACCTGTTCTATGAAAGGAACTGTTCAACACTGTGACTTCAATTGAAACATCCCAATGAAGCTTCTGAGAATGCTTCTGTCTAGAGTTTATATGAAGACAATCCCGTTTCCAACGAAATCCTCAAAGCTATCCAAATATCCTCTTGCAGATATTACAAAAAGAGTGTTTCAAAACTGCTCTATCAAAAGAAAGGTTCAACACTGTTAGTTGAGGGCGCACATCACAAATAAGTTTACTGAGAATGCTGCTGTCTGCTTTTTATATGTAATCCCGTTTCCAACGAAATCCTCAAAGCTAGACAAATATCCACTTACAGATTCCACAAAAAGAGTGTTTCAAAACTGCTCTATCAAAAGAAAGCTTCAACACTGTTAGTTGAGGGCGCACATCACAAATAAGATTCTGAGAATGCTTCTGTCTAGTTTTCAGGGGAAGATATTTCCTTTTTCACCATAGGCCTGAAAGCACTCCAAATGTCCACATACAGATACTACAAAAAGAGTGTTTCAAACCTGCTCTATGAAAGGGAATGTTCAACTCTGTGACTTGAATGCAAACTTCACAAAGAAGTTTCTGGGAATGCAACTGTCTAGAGTTTATATGAAGACAATCCCGTTTCCAACGAAATCCTCAAAGCTATCCAAATATCCTCTTGCAGATATTACAAAAAGAGTGTTTCAAAACTGCTCTATCAAAAGAAAGGTTCAACACTGTTAGTTGAGGGCGCACATCACAAATAAGTTTCTGAGAATGCTTCTGTCTAGTTTTCAGGGGAAGATATTTCCTTTTTCACCATAGGCCTGAAAGCGCTCCAAATGTCCACATCCAGATACTACAAAAAGAGTGTTTCAAACCTGCTCTATGAAAGGGAATGTTCAACTCTGTGACTTGAATGCAAACATCACAAAGAAGTTTCTGGGAATGCTGCTGTCTGCTTTTTATATGTAATCCCGTTTCCAACGAAATCCTCAAAGCTATACAAATATCCACCTGCAGATCCAACAAAAAGAGTGTTTCAAAACTGCTCTCTCAAAAAAAAGGTTCAACTCTGTTAGCTGAGTAGATACGTCATGAAAAAGTTTCTGACATTGCTTCTATCTAGCTTTTATTGGAAGATATTTCCTTTTTCACCGTAGTCCTGAGATCTCTCCAAATGTCCACTTCCAGATACTACAAAAAGAGTGTTTCAAACCTGCTCTATGAAAGGGACTGTTCAACACTGTGACTTCAATTGAAACATCCCAATGAAGCTTCTGAGAATGCTTCTGTCTAGAGTTTATATGAAGACAATCCCGTTTCCAACGAAATCCTCAAAGCTATCCAAATATCCTCTTGCAGATATTACAAAAAGAGTGTTTCAAAACTGCTCTATCAAAAGAAAGGTTCAACACTGTTAGTTGAGGGCGCACATCACAAATAAGTTTCTGAGAATGCTTCTGTCTACTTTTCAGGGGAAGATATTTCCTTTTTCACCATAGGCCTGAAAGCGCTCCAAATGTCCACATCCAGATAGTACAAAAAGAGTGTTTCAAACCTGCTCTATGAAAGGGAATGTTCAACTCTGTGACTTGAATGAAAACATCACAAAGAAGTTACTGGGAATGCTGCTGTCTGCTTTTTATATGTAATCCCGTTTCCAACGAAATCCTCAAAGCTGGACAAATATCCACTTGCAGATTCCACAAAAAGAGTGTTTCAAAACTGCTCTCTCAAAGGAAAGTTTCAACTCTGTTAGCTGAGTAGATACATCATGAAAAAGTTTCTGACATTGCTTCTATGTAGCTTTTATTGGAAGATATTTCCTTTTTCACCATAGTCCTGAGAGCGCTCCAAATGTCCACTTCCAGATACTACAAAAAGAGTGTTTCAAACCTGTTCTATGAAAGGAACTGTTCAACACTGTGACTTCAATTGAAACATCCCAATGAAGCTTCTGAGAATGCTTCTGTCTAGAGTTTATATGAAGACAATCCCGTTTCCAACGAAATCCTCAAAGCTAGACAAATATCCACTTGCAGATTCCACAAAAAGAGTGTTTCAAAACTGCTCTCTCAAAGGAAAGGTTCAACTCTGTTAGCTGAGTAGATACATCATGAAAAAGTTTCTGACATTGCTTCTATCTAGCTTTTATTGGAAGATATTTCCTTTTTCACTGTAGTCCTGAGAACGCTCCACAAGTCCACTTCCAGATACTACAAAAAGAGTGTTTCAAACCTGCTCTATGAAAGGGACTGTTCAACACTGTGACTTCAATTGAAACATCCCAATGAAGCTTCTGAGAATCCTACTGTCTAGGGTTAATATGAAGACAATCCCGTTTCCAACGAAATCCTCAAAGCTATCCAAATATCCTCTTGCAGATTTTACAAAAAGAGTGTTTAAAAACTGCTCTATCAAAAGAAAGCTTCAACACTGTTAGTTGAGGGCGCGCATCACAAATAAGATTCTGAGAATGCTGCTGTCTGCTTTTTATATGTAATCCCGTTTCCAACGAAATCCTCAAAGCTAGACAAACATCCACTTGCAGATTCCACAAAAAGAGTGTTTCAAAACTGCTCTATCAAAAGAAAGCTTCAACACTGTTAGTTGAGGGCGCACATCCCAAATAAGTTTCTGAGAATGCTTCTGTCTAGTTTTCAGGGGAAGATATTTCCTTTTAAACCATAGGCCTGAAAGCGCTCCAAATGTCCACATCCAGATACTACAAAAAGAGTGTTTCAAACCTGCTCTATGAAAGGGACTGTTCAACACTGTGACTTCAATTGAAACATCCCAATGAAGCTTCTGAGAATGCTTCTGTCTAGAGTTTATATGAAGACAATCCCGTTTCCAACGAAATCCTCAAAGCTATCCAAATATCCTCTTGCAGATATTACAAAAAGAGTGTTTCAAAACTGCTCTATCAAAAGAAAGCTTCAACACTGTTAGTTGAGGGCGCACATCAAAAATAAGTTTCTGAGAATGCTTCTATCTAGCTCTTATTGGAAGATATTTCCTTTTTCACCATAGGCCTGAAAGCGCTCCAAATGTACACATCCAGATACTACAAAAAAAGTGTTTCAAACCTGCTCTATGAAAGGGAATGTTCAACTCTGTGACTTGAATGCAAACATCACAAAGAAGTTACTGGGAATGATGCTGTCTGCTTTTTATATGTAATCCCGTTTCCAACGAAATCCTCAAAGCTAGACAAATATCCACTTGCAGATTCCACAAAAAGAGTGTTTCAAAACTGCTCTCTCAAAGGAAAGGTTCAACTCTGTTAGCTGAGTAGATACATCATGAAAAAGTTTCTGACATTGCTTCTATCTAGCTTTTATTGGAAGATATTTCCTTTTTCACTGTAGTCCTGAGAACGCTCCAAATGTCCACTTCCAGATATGACAAAAAGAGTGTTTCAAACCTGCTCTATGAAAGGGACTGTTCAACACTGTGACTTCAATTGAAACATCCCAATGAAGCTTCTGAGAATGCTTCTGTCTAGAGTTTATATGAAGACAATCCCGTTTCCAACGAAATCCTCAAAGCTATCCAAATATCCTCTTGCAGATATTACAAAAAGAGTGTTTCAAAACTGCTCTATCAAAAGAAAGGTTCAACACTGTTAGTTGAGGGCGCACATCACAAATAAGTTTACTGAGAATGCTGCTGTCTGCTTTTTATATGTAATCCCGTTTCCAACGAAATCCTCAAAGCTAGACAAATATCCACTTGCAGATTCCACAAAAAGAGTGTTTCAAAACTGCTCTATCAAAAGAAAGCTTCAACACTGTTAGTTGAGGGCGCACATCACAAATAAGTTTCTGAGAATGCTTCTGTCTAGTTTTCAGGGGAAGATATTTCCTTTTAAACCATAGGCCTGAAAGCGCTCCAAATGTCCACATCCAGATACTACAAAAAGAGTGTTTCAAACCTGCTCTATGAAAGGGACTGTTCAACACTGTGACTTCAATTGAAACATCCCAATGAAGCTTCTGAGAATGCTTCTGTCTAGATTTTATATGAAGACAATCCCGTTTCCAACGAAATCCTCAAAGCTATCCAAATATCCTCTTGCAGATTTTACAAAAAGAGTGTTTCAAAACTGCTCTATCAAAAGAAAAGTTCAACACTGTTAGTTGAGGGCGCACATCACAAATAAGTTTCTGAGAATGCTTCTGTCTAGTTTTCAGGGGAAGATATTTCCTTTTTCACCATAGGCCTGAAAGCGCTCCAAATGTCCACATCCAGATACTACAAAAAGAGTGTTTCAAACCTGCTCTAAGAAAGGGAATGTTCAACTCTGTGACTTGAATGCAAACATCACAAAGAAATTTCTGGGAATGCTGCTGTCTGCTTTTTATATGTAATCCCGTTTCCAACGAAATCCTCAAAGCTAGACAAATATCCACTTGCAGATTCCACAAAAAGAGTGTTTCAAAACTGCTCTCTCAAAAGAAAGGTTCAACTCTGTTAGCTGAGTAGATACATCATTAAAAAGTTTCTGACATTGCTTCTATCTAGCTTTTATTGGAAGATATTTCCTTTTTCACCGCAGTCCTGAGAGCGCTCCAAATGTCCACTTCCAGATACTACAAAAAGAGTGTTTCAAACCTGCTCTATGAAAGGGACTGTTCAACACTGTGACTTCAACTGAAACATCCCAATGAAGCTTCTGAGAATGCTTTATGTCTAGAGTTTATATGAAGACAATCCCGTTTCCAACGAAATCCTGAAAGCTATCCAAATATCCTCTTGCAGATATTACAAAAAGAGTGTTTCAAAACTGCTCTATCAAAAGAAAGCTTCAACACTGTTAGTTGAGGGCGCCCATCACAAATAAGTTTCGGAGAATGCTTAGCTGTCGGCTTTTTATAATTAATCCCGTTTCCAACGAAATCATCAAAGCTATCCAAATATCCTCTTGCAGATATTACAAAAAGAGTGTTTCAAAACTGCTCTATCAAAAGAAAGGTTCAACACCGTTAGTTGAGGGCGCACATCACAAATAAGTTTCTGAGAATGCTTCTGTCTAGTTTTCAGGGGAAGATATTTCCTTTTAAACCATAGGCCTGAAAGCGCTCCAAATGTCCACATCCAGATACTACAAAAAGAGTGTTTCAAACCTGCTCTATGAAAGGGACTGTTCAACACTGTGACTTCAATTGAAACATCCCAATGACGCTTCTGAGAATGCTTTCTGTCTAGAGTTTATATGAAGACAATCCCGTTTCCAACGAAATCCTCAAAGCTATCCAAATATCCTCTTGCAGATTTTACAAAAAGAGTGTTTCAAAACTGCTCTATCAAAAGAAAGCTTCAACACTGTTAGTTGAGGGCGCACATCACAAATAAGATTCTGAGAATGCTTCTGTCTAGTTTTCAGGGGAAGATATTTCCTTTTTCACCATAGGCCTGAAAGCGCTCCAAATGTCCACATCCAGATACTACAAAAAGAGTGTTTCAAACCTGCTCTATGAAAGGGAATGTTCAACTCTGTGACGTGAATGCAAACATCACAAAGAAGTTTCTGGGAATGCTGCTGTCTGCTTTTTATATGTAATCCCGTTTCCAACGAAATCCTCAAAGCTAGACAAATATCCACTTGCAGATTCCACAAAAAGAGTGTTTCAAAACTGCTCTATCAAAAGAATGCTTCAACACTCTTAGTTGAGGGCGCACATCACAAATAAGTTTCTGAGAATGCTTCTGTCTAGTTTTCAGGGGAAGATATTTCCTTTTAAACCATAGGCCTGAAAGCGCTCCAAATGTCCACATCCAGATACTACAAAAAGAGTGTTTCAAACCTGCTCTATGAAAGGGACTGTTCAACACTGCAACTTCAATTGAAACATCCCAATGAAGCTTCTGAGAATGCTTCTGTCTGGAGTTTATATGAAGACAATCCCGTTTCCAACGAAATCCTCAAAGCTATCCAAATATCCTCTTGCAGATTTTACAAAAAGAGTGTTTCAAAACTGCTCTATCAAAAGAAAGCTTCAACACTGTTAGTTGAGGGCGCACATCACAAATAAGATTCTGAGAATGCTTCTGTCTAGTTTTCAGGGGAAGATATTTCCTTTTTCACCATAGGCCTGAAAGCGCTCCAAATGTCCACATCCAGATACTACAAAAAGAGTGTTTCAAACCTGCTCTATGAAAGGGAATGTTCAACTCTGTGACTTGAATGCAAACATCACAAAGAAGATTCTGGGAATGCTGCTGTCTGCTTTTTATATGTAAACCCGTTTCCAACGAAATCCTCAAAGCTAGACAAATATCCACTTGCAGATTCCACAAAAAGAGTGTTTCAAAACTTCTCTCTCAAAAGAAAGGTTCCACTCTGTTAGCTGAGTAGATACATCATGAAAAAGTTTCTGACATTGCTTCTATCTAGCTTTTATTGGAAGATACTTCCTTTTTCACCGTAGTCCTGAGAGCGCTCCAAATGTCCACTTCCAGATACTACAAAAAGAGTGTTTCAAACCTGCTCTATGAAAGGGACTGTTCAACACTGTGACTTCAATTGAAACATCCCAATGAAGCTTCTGAGAATGCTTCTTTCTAGAGTTTATATGAAGACAATCCCGTTTCCAACGAAATCCTCAAAGCTATCCAAATATTCTCTTGCAGATATTACAAAAAGAGTGTTTCAAAACTGCTCTATCAAAATAAAGCTTCAACACTGTTAGTTGAGGGCGCACATCACAAATAAGTTTCTGAGAATGCTGCTGTCTGCTTTTTATAATTAATCCCGTTTCCAACGAAATCCTCAAAGCTATCCAAATATCCTCTTGCAGATATTACAAAAAGAGTGTTTCAAAACTGCTCTATCAAAAGAAAGCTTCAACACTGTTAGTTGAGGGCGCACATCACAAATAAGTTTCTGAGAATGCTTCTGTCTAGTTTTCAGGGGAAGATATTTCCTTTTTCACCATAGGCCTGAAAGCGCTCCAAATGTCCACATCCAGATACTACAAAAAGAGTGTTTCAAACCTGCTCTATGAAAGGGAATGTTCAACTCTGTGAGTTGAATGCAAACATCACAAAGAAGTTTCTGGGAATGCTGCTGTCTGCTTTTCATATGTAATCCCGTTTCCAACGAAATCCTCAAAGCTAGACAAATATCCACTTGCAGATTCCACAAAAAGAGTGTTTCAAAACTGCTCTATCAAAAGAATGCTTCAACACTGTTAGTTGAGGGCGCACATCACAAATAAGTTTCTGAGAATGCTTCTGTCTAGTTTTCAGGGGAAGATATTTCCTTTTAAACCATAGGCCTGAAAGCGCTCCAAATGTCCACATCCAGATACTACAAAAAGAGTGTTTGAAACCTGCTCTATGAAAGGGACTGTTCAACACTGTGACTTCAATTGAAACATCCCAATGAAGCTTCTGAGAATGCTTCTGTCTAGAGTTTATATGAAGACAATTCCGTTTCCAACGAAATCCTCAAAGCTATCCAAATATCCTCTTGCAGATTTTACAAAAAGAGTGTTTCAAAACTGCTCTATCAAAAGAAAGGTTCAACACTGTTAGTTGAGGGCGCACATCACAAATAAGTTTCTGAGAATGCTTCTGTCTAGTTTTCAGGGGAAGATATTTCCTTTTTCACCATAGGCCTGAAAGCGCTCCAAATGTCCACATACAGATACTACAAAAAGAGTGTTTCAAACCTGCTCTATGAAAGGGAATGTTCAACTCTGTGACTTGAATGCAAACTTCACAAAGAAGTTTCTGGGAATGCTGCTGTCTGCTTTTTATATGTAATCCCGTTTCCAACGAAATCCTCAAAGCTAGACAAATATCCACTTGCAGATTCCACAAAAAGAGTGTTTCAAAACTGCTCTCTCAAAAGAAAGGTTCAACTCTGTTAGCTGAGTAGATACATCATGAAAAAGTTTCTGACTTTGCTTCTATCTAGCTTTTATTGGAAGATATTTCCTTTATCACCGTATTCCTGAGATCTCTCCAAATGTCCACTTCCAGATACTACAAAAAGAGTGTTTCAAACCTGCTCTATGAAAGGGACTGTTCAACACTGTGACTTCAATTGAAACATCCCAATGAAGCTTCTGAGAATGCTTCTGTCTAGAGTTTATATGAAGACAATCCCGTTTCCAACGAAATCCTCAAAGATATCCAAATATCCTCTTGCAGATATTACAAAAAGAGTGTTTCAAAACTGCTCTATCAAAAGAAAGCTTCAACACTGTTAGTTGAGGGCGCACATCACAAATTAGTTTCTGAGAATGCTTCTGTCTAGTTTTCAGGGGAAGATATTTCCTTTTTCACCATAGGCCTGAAAGCGCTCCAAATGTCCACATCCAGATACTACAAAAAGAGTGTTTCAAACCTGCTCTATGAAAGGGAATGTTCAACTCTGTGACTTGAATGCAAACATCACAAAGATGTTACTGGGAATGCTGCTGTCTGCTTTTTATATGTAATCCCGTTTCCAACGAAATCCTCAAATCTAGACAAGTATCCACTTCCAGATTCCACAAAATGAGTGTTTCAAAACTGCTCTCTCAAAAGAAAGGTTCAACTCTGTTAGCTGAGTAGATACATCATGAAAAAGTTTCTGACATTGCTTCTATCTAGCTTTTATTGGAAGATATTTCCTTTATCACCGTACTCCTGAGATCTCTCCAAATGTCCACTTCCAGATACTACAAAAAGAGTGTTTCAAACCTGCTCTATGAAAGGGACTGTTCAACACTGTGACTTCAATTGAAACATCCCAATGAAGCTTCTGAGAATGCTTCTGTCTAGAGTTTATATGAAGACAATCCCGTTTCCAACGAAATCCTCAAAGCTATCCAAATATCCTCTTGCAGATATTACAAAAAGAGTGTTTCAAAACTGCTCTATCAAAAGAAAGGTTCAACACTGTTAGTTGAGGGCGCACATCACAAATAAGTTTCTGAGAATGCTTCTGTCTAGTTTTCAGGGGAAGATATTTCCTTTTTCACCATAGGCCTGAAAGCGCTCCAAATGTCCACATCCAGATACTACAAAAAGAGTGTTTCAAAACTGCTCTATGAAAGGGAATGTTCAACTCTGTGACTTGAATGCAAACATCACAAAGAAGTTACTGGGATTGCTGCTGTCTGCTTTTTATATGTAATCCCGTTTCCAACGAAATCCTCAAAGCTAGACAAATACCCACTTGCAGATTCCACAAAAAGAGTGTTTCAAAACTGCTCTCTCAAAAGAAAGGTTCAACTCTGTTAGCTGAGTAGATACATCATGAAAATGTTTCTGACATTGCTTCTATCTAGCTTTTATTGGAAGATATTTCCTTTTTCACCGTAGTCATGAGAGCGCTCCAAATGTCCACTTCCAGATACTACAAAAAGAGTGTTTCAAACCTGCTCTATGAAAGGGAATGTTCAACACTGTGACTTCAATTGAAACATCCCAATGAAGCTTCTGAGAATGCTTCTGTCTAGAGTTTATATGAAGACAATCCCGTTTCCAACGAAATCCTCAAAGCTATCCAAATATCCTCTTGCAGATATTACAAAAAGAGTGTTTCAAAACTGCTCTATCAAAAGAAAGGTTCAACACTGTTAGTTGAGGGCGCACATCACAAATAAGTTTACTGAGAATGCTGCTGTCTGCTTTTTATATGTAATCCCGTTTCCAACGAAATCCTCAAAGCTAGACAAATATCCACTTGCAGATTCCACAAAAAGAGTGTTTCAAAACTGCTCTATCAAAAGAAAGCTTCAACACTGTTAGTTGAGGGCGCACATCACAAATAAGTTTCTGAGAATGCTTCTGTCTAGTTTTCAGGGGAAGATATTTCCTTTTAAACCATAGGCCTGAAAGCGCTCCAAATGTCCACATCCAGATACTACAAAAAGAGTGTTTCAAACCTGCTCTATGAAAGGGAATGTTCAACACTGTGACTTCAATTGAAACATCCCAATGACGCTTCTGAGAATGCTTCTGTCTAGAGTTTATATGAAGACAATCCCGTTTCCAACGAAATCCTCAAAGCTATCCAAATATCCTCTTGCAGATTTTACAAAAAGAGTGTTTCAAAACTGCTCTATCAAAAGAAAGCTTCAACACTGTTAGTTGATGGCGCACATCACAAATAAGATTCTGAGAATTCTTCTGTCTAGTTTTCAGGGGAAGATATTTCCTTTTTCACCATAGGCCTGAAAGCGCTCCAAATGTCCACATCCAGATACTACAAAAAGAGTGTTTCAAACCTGCTCTATGAAAGGGAATGTTCAACTCTGTGACTTGAATGCAAACGTCACAAAGAAGTTACTGGGAATGCTGCTGTCTGCTTTTTATATGTAATCCCGTTTCCAACGAAATCCTCAAAGCTAGACAAATATCCACTTGCAGATTCCACAAAAAGAGTGTTTCAAAACTGCTCTCTCAAAAGAAAGGTTCAACTCTGTTAGCTGAGTAGATACATCATGAAAAAGTTTCTGACATTGCTTCTATCTAGCTTTTATTGGAAGATATTTCCTTTATCACCGTATTCCTGAGATCTCTCCAAATGTCCACCTCCAGATACTACAAAAAGAGTGTTTCAAACCTGCTCTATGAAAGGGACTGTTCAACACTGTGACTTCAATTGAAACATCCCAATGAAGCTTCTGAGAATGCTTCTGTCTAGAGTTTATATGAAGACAATCCCGTTTCCAACGAAATCCTCAAAGCTATCAAAATATCCTCTTGCAGATTTTACGAAAAGAGTGTTTCAAAACTGCTCTATCAAAAGAAAGCTTCAACACTGTTAGTTGAGGGCGCACATCACAGATAAGATTCTGAGAATGCTTCTGTCTAGTTTTCAGGGGAAGATATTTCCTTTTTCACCATAGGCCTGAAAGCGCTCCAAATGTCCACATCCAGATACTACAAAAAGAGTGTTTCAAACCTGCTCTATGAAAGGGAATGTTCAACTCTGTGACTTGAATGCAAACATCACAAAGAAGTTTCTGGGAATGCTTCTGTCTAGATTTTATATGAAGACAATCCCGTTTCCAACGAAATCCTCAAAGCTAGACCAATATCCACTTGCAGATTCCACAAAAAGAGTGTTTCAAAACTGCTCTCTAAAAAAAAAGGTTCAACTCTGTTATCTGAGTAGATACATCATGAAAAAGTTTCTGATATTGCTTCTATCTAGCTTTTATTGGAAGATATTTCCTTCTTCACCATAGTCCTGAGAGCGCTCCAAATGTCCACTTCCAGATGCTACAAAAAGAGTGTTTCAAACCTGCTCTATGAAAGGGACTGTTCAACACTGTGACTTCAATTGAAACATCCCAATGAAGCTTCTGAGAATGCTTCTGTCTAGAGTTTATATGAAGACAATCCCGTTTCCAACGAAATCCTCAAAGCTATCCAAATATCCTCTTGCAGATATTACAAAAAGAGTGTTTCAAAACTGCTCTATCAAAAGAAAGGTTCAACACTGTTAGTTGAGGGCGCACATCACAAATAAGTTTACTGAGAATGCTGCTGTCTGCTTTTTATATGTAATCCCGTTTCCAACGAAATTCTCAAAGCTAGACAAATATCCACTTGCAGATTCCACAAAAAGAGTGTTTCAAAACTGCTCTATCAAAAGAAAGCTTCAACACTGTTAGTTGAGGGCGCACATCACAAATAAGTTTCTGAGAATGCTTCTGTCTAGTTTTCAGGGGAAGATATTTCCTTTTTCACCATAGGCCTGAAAGCGCTCCAAATGTCCACATCCAGATACTACAAAAAGAGTGTTTCAAACCTGCTCTATGAAAGGGACTGTTCAACACTGTGACTTCAATTGAAACATCCCAATGAAGCTTCTGAGAATGCTTCTGTCTAGATTCTATATGAAGACAATCCCGTTTCCAACGAAATCCTCAAAGCTATCCAAATATCCTCTTGCAGATTTTACAAAAAGAGTGTTTCAAAACTGCTCTATCAAAAGAAAGGTTCAACACTGTTAGTTGAGGGCTCACATCACAAATAAGTTTCTGAGAATGCTTCTATCTAGTTTTTATGGGAGGATATTTCCTTTTTCAACACAAGCCGGAATGCGCTCCAAACGGACAACTTCTAGATATGACAAAAGGCGTGTTTCAAACCTGCTCTATGAAAGGGAATGTTCAAATCCGGGACTTCAATGCAAACATCACAAAGAAGTTTCTGAGAATGCTGCTGTCTGCTTTTTATATGTAATCCCGTTTCCAACGAAATCCTCAAAGCTAGACAAATATCCACTTGCAGATTCCACAAAAAGAGTGTTTCAAAACTGCTCTCTCAAAAGAAAGGTTCAACTCTGTTAGCTGAGTAGATACATCATGAAAAAGTTTCTGACATTGCTTCTATCTAGCTTTTATTGGAAGATATTTCCTTTTTCACCGTAGTCCTGAGAACGCTCCAAATGTCCACTTCCAGATACTACAAAAAGAGTGTTTCAAACCTGCTCTATGAAAGGGACTGTTCAACACTGTGACTTCAATTGAAACATCCCAATGAAGCTTCTGAGAATGCTTCTGTCTAGATTCTATATGAAGACAATCCCGTTTCCAAGCGAAATCCTCAAAGCTATCCAAATATCCTCTTGCAGATTTTACAAAAAGAGTGTTTCAAAACTGCTCTATCAACAGAAACGTTCAACACTGTTAGTTGAGGGCGCACATCACAAATAAGTTTCTGAGAATGCTTCTGTCTAGTTTTCAGGGGAAGATATTTCCTTTTTCACCATAGGCCTGAAAGCGCTCCAAATGTCCACATCCAGATACTACAAAAAGAGTGTTTCAAACCTGCTCTATGAAAGGGAATGTTCAACTCTGTGACTTGAATGCAAACATCACAAAGAAGTTTCTGGGAATGCTGCTGTCTGCTTTTTATATGTAATCCCGTTTCCAACGAAATCCTCAAAGCTAGACAAACATCCACTTGCAGATTCCACAAAAAGAGTGTTTCAAAACTGCTCTCTCAAAAAAAAGGTTCAACTCTGTTAGCTGCGTAGATACATCATGAAAAAGTTTCTGACATTGCTTCTATCTAGCTTTTATTGGAAGATATTTCCTTTATCACCGTATTCCTGAGATCTCTCAAAATGTCCACTTCCAGATACTACAAAAAGAGTGTTTCAAACCTGCTCTATGAAAGGGACTGTTCAACACTGTGACTTCAATTGAAACATCCCAATGAAGCTTCTGAGAATGCTTCTGTCTAGAGTTTATATGAAGACAATCCCGTTTCCAACGAAATCCTCAAAGCTATACAAATATCCTCTTGCAGATTTTACAAAAAGAGTGTTTCAAAACTGCTCTATCAAAAGAAAGCTTCAACACTGTTAGTTGAGGGCGCACATCACAAATAAGTTTCTGAGAATGCTGCTGTCTGCTTTTTATATGTAATCCCGTTTCCAACGAAATCCTCAAAGCTAGACAAATATCCACTTGCAGATTCCACAAAAAGAGTGTTTCAAAACTGCTCTATCAAAAGAAAGCTTCAACACTGTTAGTTGAGGGGGCACATCACAAATAAGTTTCTGAGAATGCTTCTGTCTAGTTTTCAGGGGAAGATATTTCCTTTTTCACCATAGGCCTGAAAGCGCTCCAAATGTCCACATCCAGATACTACAAAAAGAGTGTTTCAAACCTGCTCTATGAAAGGGACTGTTCAACACTGTGACTTCAATTGAAACATCCCAATGAAGCTTCTGAGAATGCTACTGTCTAGGGTTAATATGAAGACAATCCCGTTTCCAACGAAATCCTCAAAGCTATCCAAATATCCTCTTGCAGATTTTACAAAAAGAGTGTTTCAAAACTCCTCTATCAAAAGAAAGGTTTAACACTGTTAGTTGAGGGCGCACATCACAAATAAGTTTCTGAGAATGCTTCTGTCTAATTTTCAGGGGAAGATATTTCCTTTTTCACCATAGGCCTGAAAGCGCTCCAAATGTCCACATCCAGATACTACAAAAAGAGTGTTTCAAACCTGCTCTATGAAAGGGAATGTTCAACTCTGTGACTTGAATGCAAACATCACAAAGAAGTTTCTGGGAATGCTGCTGTCTGCTTTTTATATGTAATCCCGTTTCCAACGAAATCCTCAAAGCTAGACAAATATCCACTTGCAGATTCCACAAAAAGAGTGTTTCAAAACTGCTCTCTCAAAAGAAAGGTTCAACTCTGTTAGCTGAGTAGATACATCATGAAAAAGTTTCTGACATTGCTTCTATCTAGCTTTTATTGGAAGATATTTCCTTTATCACCGTATTCCTGAGATCTCTCCAAATGTGCACTTCCAGATACTACAAAAAGAGTGTTTCAAACCTGCTCTATGAAAGGGACTGTTCAACACTGTGACTTTAATTGAAACATCCCAATGAAGCTTCTGAGAATGCTTCTGTCTAGAGTTTATATGAAGACAATCCCGTTTCCAAAGAAATCCTCAAAGCTATCCAAATATCCTCTTGCAGATATTACAAAAAGAGTGTTTCAAAACTGCTCTATCAAAAGAAAGGTTCAACACTGTTAGTTGAGGGCGCACATCACAAATAAGTTTCTGAGAATGCTTCTGTCTAGTTTTCAGGGGAAGATATTTCCTTTTTCACCATAGGCCTGAAAGCGCTCCAAATGTCCACATCCAGATACTACAAAAAGAGTGTTTCAAACCTGCTCTATAAAAGGGAATGTTCAACTCTGTGACTTGAATGCAAACATCACAAAGAAGTTTCTGGGAATGCTGCTGTCTGCTTTTTATATGTAATCCCGTTTCCAACGAAATCCTCAAAGCTAGACAAATATCCACTTGCAGATTCCACAAAAAGAGTGTTTCAAAACTGCTCTATCAAAAGAATGCTTCAACACTGTTAGTTGAGGGCGCACATCACAAATAAGTTTCTGAGAATGCTTCTGTCTAGTTTTCAGGGGAAGATATTTCCTTTTAAACCATAGGCCTGAAAGCGCTCCAAATGTCCACATCCAGATACTACAAAAAGAGTGTTTCAAACCTGCTCTATGAAAGGGACTGTTCAACACTGTGAGTTCAATTGAAACATCCCAATGAAGCTTCTGAGAATGCTTCTGTGTAGAGTTTATATGAAGACAATCCCGTTTCCAACGAAATCCTCAAAGCTATCCAAATATCCTCTTGCAGATTTTACAAAAAGAGTGTTTCAAAACTGCTCTATCAAAAGAAAGCTTCAACACTGTTAGTTGAGGGCGCACATCACAAATAAGATTCTGAGAATGCTTCTGTCTAGTTTTCAGGGGAAGATATTTCCTTTTTCACCATAGACCTGAAAGCGCTCCAAATGTCCACATCCGGATACTACAAAAAGAGTGTTTCAAACCTGCTCTATGAAAGGGAATGTTCAACTCTGTGACTTGAATGCAAACATCACAAAGAAGTTTCTGGGAATGCTGCTGTCTGCTTTTTATATGTAATCCCGTTTCCAACGAAATCCTCAAAGCTAGACAAATATCCACTTGCAGATTCCACAAAAAGAGTGTTTCAAAACTGCTCTATCAAAAGAAAGCTTCAACACTGTTAGTTGAGGGCGCACATCACAAATAAGTTTCTGAGAATGCTATTGTCTAGTTTTCAGGGGAAGATATTTCCTTTTAAACCATAGGCCTGAAAGCGCTCCAAATGTCCACATCCAGATACTACAAAAAGAGTGTTTCAAACCTGCTCTATGAAAGGGACTGTTCAACACTGTGACTTCAATTGAAACATCCCAATGACGCTTCTGAGAATGCTTCTGTCTAGGGTTAATATGAAGACAATCCCGTTTCCAACGAAATCCTCAAAGCTATCCAAATATCCTCTTGCAGATTTTACAAGAAGAATGTTTCAAAACTGCTCTATCAAAAGAAAGCTTCAACACTGTTAGTTGAGGGCGCACATCACAAATAAGTTTCTGAGACTACTTCTGTCTAGTTTTCAGTGGAAGATATTTCCTTTTTCACCATAGGCCTGAAAGCGCTCCAAATGTCCAAATCCAGATACTACAAAAAGAGTGTTTCAAACCTGCTCTATGAAAGGGAATTTTCAACTCTGTGACTTGAATGCAAACATCACAAAGTAGTTTCTGGGAATGCTGCTGTCTGCTTTTTATATGTAATCCCGTTTCCAAAGAAATCCTCAAATCTAGACAAATATCCACTTGCAGATCCCACAAAAAGAGTGTTTCAAAACTGCTCTCTCAAAAGAAAGGTTCAACTCTTTTAGCTGAGTAGATACATCATGAAATAGTTTCTCACATTGCTTCTATCTAGCTTTTATTGGAAGATATTTCCTTTTTCACCGCAGTCCTGAGAGCGTTCCAAATGTCCACTTCCAGATACTACAAAAAGAGTGTTTCAAAGCTGCTCTATGAAAGGGACTGTTCAACACTGTGACTTCAATTGAAACATCCCAATGAAGCTTCTGAGAATGCTTCTGTCTAGAGTTTATATGAAGACAATCCCGTTTCCAACGAAATCCTCAAAGCTATCCAAATATCCTCTTGCAGATATTACAAAAAGAGTGTTTCAAAACTGCTCTATCAAAAGAAAGGTTCAACACTGTTAGTTGAGGGCGCACATCACAAATAAGTTTACTGAGAATGCTGCTGTCTGCTTTTTATATGTAATCCCGTTTCCAACGAAATCCTCAAAGCTAGACAAATATCCACTTGCAGATTCCACAAAAAGAGTGTTTCAAAGCTGCTCTATCAAAAGAAAGCTTCAACACTGTTAGTTGAGGGGGCACATCACAAATAAGTTTCTGAGAATGCTTCTGTCTGGTTTTCAGGGGAAGACAGTTCCTTTTTCACCTTAGGCCTGAAAGCGCTGCAAATGTCCACATCCAGATACTACAAAAAGAGTGTTTCAAACCTGCTCTCTGAAAGGGAATGTTCAACTCTGTGACTTGAATGCAAACATCACAAAGAAGTTACTGGGAATGCTTCTGTCTAGAGTTTACATGAAGACAATCCCGTTTCCAACGAAATCCTCAAAGCTATCCAAATATCCTCTTGCAGATATTACAAAAAGAGTGTTTCAAAACTGCTCTATCAAAAGAAAGGTTAAACACTGTTAGTTCAGGGCGCACATCACAAATAAGTTTCTGAGAATGCTTCTGTCTAGTTTTCAGGGGAAGATATTTCCTTTTTCACCATAGGCCTGAAAGCGCTCCAAATGTCCACATCCAGATACTACAAAAAGAGTGTTTCAAACCTGCTCTATGAAAGGGAATGTTCAACTCTGTGACTTGAATGCAAACATCACAAAGAAGTTTCTGGGAATGCTGCTGTCTGCTTTTTATATGTATTCCCGTTTCCAACGAAATCCTCAAAGCTAGACAAATATCCACTTGCAGATTCCACAAAAAGAGTGTTTCAAAACTGCTCTCTCAAAAGAAAGGTTCAACTCTGTTAGCTGAGTAGATACATCATGAAAAAGTTTCTGACATTGCTTCTATCTAGCTTTTATTGGAAGATATTTCCTTTTTCACCGTAGTCCTGAGAGCGCTCCAAATGTCCACTTCCAGATACTACAAAAAGAGTGTTTCAAACCTGCTCTATGAAAGGGACTGTTCAACACTGTGACTTCAACTGAAACATCCCAATGAAGCTTCTGAGAATGCTTATGTCTAGAGTTTATATGAAGACAATCCCGTTTCCAACGAAATCCTGAAAGCTATCCAAATATCCTCTTGCAGATATTACAAAAAGAGTGTTTCAAAACTGCTCTATCAAAAGAAAGCTTCAACACTGTTAGTTGAGGGCGCCCATCACAAATAAGTTTCGGAGAATGCTTAGCTGTCTGCTTTGTATAATTAATCCCGTTTCCAACGAAATCCTCAAAGCTATCCAAATATCCTCTTGCAGATATTACAAAAAGAGTGTTTCAAAACTGCTCTATCAAAAGAAAGCTTCAACACTGTTAGTTGAGGGCGCACATCACAAATAAGTTTCTGAGAATGCTTCTGTCTAGTTTTCAGGGGAAGATATTTCCTTTTTCACCATATGCCTGAAAGCGCTCCAAATGTCCACATCCAGATACTACAAAAAGAGTGTTTCAAACCTGCTCTATGAAAGGGACTGTTCAACACTGTGACTTCAATTGAAACATCCCAATGAAGCTTCTGAGAATGCTTCTGTCTAGAGTTTATATGAAGACAATCCCGTTTGCAATGAAATCCTCAAAGCTATCCAAATATCCTCTTGCAGATTTTACAAAAAGAGTGTTTCAAAACTGCTCTATCAAAAGAAAGCTTCAACACTGTTAGTTGAGGGCGCACATCACAAATAAGATTCTGAGAATGCTTCTGTCTAGTTTTCAGGGGAAGATATTTCCTTTTTCCCCATAGGTCTGAAAGCGCTCCAAATGTCCACATCCAGATACTACAAAAAGAGTGTTTCAAACCTGCTCTATGAAAGGGAATGTTCAACTCTGTGACTTGAATGAAAACATCACAAAGAAGTTACTGGGAATGCTGCTGTCTGCTTTTTATATGTAATCCCGTTTCCAACGAAATCCTCAAAGCTAGACAAATATCCACTTGCAGATTCCACAAAAAGAGTGTTTCAAAACTGCTCTCTCAAAGGAAAGGTTCAACTCTGTTAGCTGAGTAGATACATCATGAAAAAGTTTCTGACATTGCTTCTATCTAGCTTTTATTGGAAGATATTTCCTTTTTCACCGCAGTCCTGAGAGCGCTCCAAATGTCCACTTCCAGATACTGCAAAAAGAGTGTTTCAAACCTGCTCTATGAAAGGGACTGTTCAACACTGTGACTTCAACTGAAACATCCCAATGAAGCTTCTGAGAATGCTGCTGTCTGCTTTGTATAATTAATCCCGTTTCCAACGAAATCCTCAAAGCTATCCAAATATCCTCTTGCAGATATTACAAAAAGAGTGTTTCAAAACTGCTCTATCAAAAGAAAGCTTCAACACTGTTAGTTGAGGGCGCACATCACAAATAAGTTTCTGAGAATGCTGCTGTCTGCTTTTTATAAGTAATCCCGTTTCCAACGAAATCCTCAAAGCTATCCAAATATCCTCTTGCAGATATTACAAAAAGAGTGTTTCAAAACTGCTCTATCAAAAGAAAGGTTCAACACTGTTAGTTGAGGGCGCACATAACAAATAAGTTTCTGAGAATGCTTCTGTCTAGTTTTCAGGGGAAGATATTTCCTTTTAAAACATAGCCCTGAAAGCGCTCCAAATGTCCACATCCAGATACTACAAAAAGAGTGTTTCAAACCTGCTCTATGAAAGGGACTGTTCAACACTGCAACTTCAATTGAAACATCCCAATGAAGCTTCTGAGAATGCTTCTGTCTAGAGTTTATATGAAGACAATCCCGTTTCCAACGAAATCCTCAAAGCTATCCAAATATCCTCTTGCAGATATTACAAAAAGAGTGTTTCAAAACTGCTCTATCAAAAGAAAGCTTCAACACTGTTAGTTGAGGGCGCACATCACATATAAGTTTCGGAGAATGCTTCTGTCTAGTTTTCAGGGGAAGATATTTCCTTTTTCACCTTAGGCCTGAAAGCGCTGCAAATGTCCACATCCAGATACTACAAAAAGAGTGTTTCAAACCTGCTCTATGAAAGGGAATGTTCAACTCTGTGACTTGAATGCAAACAACATAAAGAAGTTTCTGGGAATGCTGCTGTCTGCTTTTTATATGTAATCCCGTTTCCAACGAAATCCTCAAAGCTAGACAAATATCCACTTGCAGATTCCACAAAAAGAGTGTTTCAAAACTGCTCTCTCAAAGGAAGGTTCAACTCTGTTAGCTGAGTAGATACATCATGAAAAAGTTTCTGACATTGCTTCTATCTAGCTTTTATTGGAAGATATTTCCTTTTTCACCGCAGTCCTGAGAGCGCTCCAAATGTCCACTTCCAGATACTACAAAAAGAGTGTTTCAAACCTGCTCTATGAAAGGGACTGTTCCACACTGTGACTTCAATTGAAACATCCCAATGAAGCTTCTGAGAATGCTTCTCTCTAGAGTTTATATGAAGACAATCCCGTTTCCAACGAAATCCTCAAAGCTATCCAAATATCCTCTTGCAGATTTTACAAAAAGAGTGTTTCAAAACTGCTCTATCAAAAGAAAGGTTCAACACTGTTAGTTGAGGGCGCACATCACAAATAAGTTTCTGAGAATGCTTCTGTCTAGTTTTCAGGGGAAGATATTTCCTTTTTCACCATAGGCCTGAAAGCGCTCCAAATGTCCACATCCAGATACTACAAAAAGAGTGTTTCAAACCTGCTCTATGAAAGGGAATGTTCAACTCTGTGACTTGAATGCAAACGTCACAAAGAAGTTTCTGGGAATGCTGCTGTCTGCTTTTTATATGTAATCCCGTTTCCAACGAAATCCTCAAAGCTAGACAAATATCCACTTGCAGATTCCACAAAAAGAGTGTTTCAAAACTGCTCTCTCAAAAGAAAGGTTCAACTCTGTTAGCTGAGTAGATACATCATGAAAAAGTTTCTGACATTGCTTCTATGTAGCTTTTATTGGAAGATATTTCCTTTATCACCGTATTCCTGAGATCTCTCCAAATGTCCACTTCCAGATACTACAAAAAGAGTGTTTCAAACCTGCTCTATGAAAGGGAGTGTTCAACACTGTGACTTCAATTGAAACATCCCAATGAAGCTTCTGAGAATGCTTCTGTCTAGAGTTTATTTGAAGACAATCCCGTTTCCAACGAAATCCTCAAAGCTATCAAAATATCCTCTTGCAGATTTTACGAAAAGAGTGTTTCAAAACTGCTCTATCAAAAGAAAGGTTCAACACTGTTAGTTGAGGGCGCACATCATAAATAAGATTCTGAGAATGCTGCTGTCTGCTTTTTATAATTAATCCCGTTTCCAACGAAATCCTCAAAGCTATCCAAATATCCTCTTGCAGATATTACAAAAAGAGTGTTTCAAAACTGCTCTATCAAAAGAATGCTTCAACACTGTTAGTTGAAGGCGCACATCACAAATAAGTTTCTGAGAATGCTTCTGTCTAGTTTTCAGGGGAAGATATTTCCTTTCAAACCATAGGCCTGAAAGCGCTCCAAATGTCCACATCCAGATACTACAAAAAGAGTGTTTCAAACCTGCTCTATGAAAGGGACTGTTCAATACTGTGACTTCAATTGAAACATCCCAATGAAGCTTCTGAGAATGCTTCTGTCTAGATTTTATATGAAGACAATCCCGTTTCCAACGAAATCCTCAAAGCTATCCAAATATCCTCTTGCAGATTTTACAAAAAGAGTGTTTCAAAACTGCTCTATCAAAAGAAAAGTTCAACACTGTTAGTTGAGGGCGCACATCACAAATAAGTTTCTGAGAATGCTTCTGTCTAGTTTTCAGGGGAAGATATTTCCTTTTTCACCATAGGCCTGAGAGCGCTCCAAATGTCCACATCCAGATACTACAAAAAGAGTGTTTCAAACCTGCTCTATGAAAGGGAATGTTCAACTCTGTGACTTGAATGCAAACATCACAAAGAAGTTTCTGGGAATGCTGCTGTCTGCTTTTTATATGTAATCCCGTTTCCAACGAAATCCTCAAAGCTAGAGAAATATCCACTTGCAGATTCCACAAAAAGAGTGTTTCAAAACTGCTCTCTCAAAAGAAAGGTTCAACTCTGTTAGCTGAGTAGATACATCATGAAAAAGTTTCTGACATTGCTTTCTATCTAGCTTTTATTGGAAGATATTTCCTTTTTCACCGTAGTCCTGAGAACTCTCCAAATGTCCACTTCCAGATGCTACAAAAAGAGTGTTTCAAACCTGCTCTATGAAAGGGACTGTTCAACACTGTGACTTCAATTGAAACATCCCAATGAAGCTTCTGAGAATGCTTCTTTCTAGAGTTTATATGAAGACAATCCCGTTTCCAACGAAATCCTCAAAGCTATCCAAATATTCTCTTGCAGATATTACAAAAAGAGTGTTTCAAAACTGCTCTATCAAAATAAAGCTTCAACACTGTTAGTTGAGGGCGCACATCACAAATAAGTTTCTGAGAATGCTGCTGTCTGCTTTTTATATGTAATCCCGTTTCCAACGAAATCCTCAAAGCTAGACAAATATCCACTTGCAGATTCCACAAAAAGAGTGTTTCAAAACTGCTCTATCAAAAGAATGCTTCAACACTGTTAGTTGAAGGCGCACATCACAAATAAGTTTCTGAGAATGCTTCTGTCTAGTTTTCAGGGGAAGATATTTCCTTTTTCACCATAGGCCTGAAAGCGCTCCAAATGTCCACATCCAGATACTACAAAAAGAGTGTTTCAAACCTGCTCTATGAAAGGGACTGTTCAACACTGTGACTTCAATTGAAACATCCCAATGAAGCTTCTGAGAATGCTTCTGTCTAGATTCTATATGAAGACAATCCCGTTTCCAACGAAATCCTCAAAGCTATCCAAATATCCTCTTGCAGATTTTACAAAAAGAGTGTTTCAAAACTGCTCTTTCAAAAGAAAGGTTCAACACTGTTAGTTGAGGGCGCACATCACAAATAAGTTTCTGAGAATGCTTCTGTCTAGTTTTCAGGAGAAGATATTTCCTTTTTCACCATAGGCCTGAAAGCGCTCCAAATGTCCACATCCAGATACTATAAAAAGAGTGTTTCAAACCTGCTCTCTGAAAGGGAATGTTCAACTCTGTGACTTGAATGCAAACATGACAAACAAGATTCTGGGAATGCTGCTGTCTGCTTTTTATATGTAATCCCGTTTCCAACGAAATCCTCAAAGCTAGACAAATATCCACTTGCAGATTCCACAAAAAGAGTGTTTCAAAACTGCTCTATCAAAAGAAAGCTTCAACACTGTTAGTTGAGGGCGCACATCACAAATAAGTTTCTGAGAATGCTTCTGTGTAGTTTTCAGGGGAAGATATTTCCTTTTTCACCATAGGCCTGAAAGCGTTCCAAATGTCCACATCCAGATACTACAAAAAGAGTGTTTCAAACCTGCTCTATGAAAGGGACTGTTCAACACTGTGACTTCAATTGAAACGTCCCAATGAAGCATCTGAGAATGCTTCTGTCTAGAGTTTATATGAAGACAATCCCGTTTCCAACGAAATCCTCAAAGCTATCCAAATATCCTCTTGCAGATTTTACAAAAAGAGTGTTTCAAAACTGCTCTATCAAAAGAAAGCTTCAACACTGTTAGTTGAGGGCGCACATCACAAATAAGATTCTGAGAATGCTTCTGTCTAGTTTTCAGGAGAAGATATTTCCTTTTTCACCATAGGCCTGAAAGCGCTCCAAATGTCCACATCCAGATACTACAAAAAGAGTGTTTCAAACCTGCTCTATGAAAGGGCATGTTCAACTCTGTGACTTGAATGCAAACATCACAAAGAAGTTACTGGGAATGCTGCTGTCTGCTTTTTATAGGTAATCCCGTTTCCAACGAAATCCTCAAAGCTAGAAAAATATCCGCTTGCAGATTCCACAAAAAGAGTGTTTCAAAACTGCTCTCTCAAAAGAAAGGTTCAACTCTGTTAGCTGAGTAGATACATCATGAAAAAGTTTCTGACATTGCTTCTATCTAGCTTTTATTGGAAGATATTTCCTTTATCACCGGAGTCCTGAGAGCGCTCCAAATGTCCACTTCCAGATACTACAAAAAGAGTGTTTCAAACCTGCTCTATGAAAGGGACTGTTCAACACTGTGACTTCAATTGAAACATCCCAATGAAGCTTCTGAGAATGCTTCTGTCTAGAGTTTATATGAAGACAATCCCTTTTCCAACGAAATCCTCAAAGCTATCCAAATATCCTCTTGCAGATATTACAAAAAGAGTGTTTCAAAACTGCTCTATCAAAAGAAAGGTTCAACACTGTTAGTTGAGGGCGCACATCACAAATAAGTTTCTGAGAATGCTTCTGTCTAGTTTTCAGGGGAAGATATTTCCTTTTTCACCATAGGCCAGAAAGCGCTCCAAATGTCCACAACCAGATACTTCAAAAAGAGTGTTTCAAACCTGCTCTATGAAAGGGAATGTTCAACTCTCTGACTTGAATGCAAACATCACAAAGAAGTTACTGGGAATGCTGCTGTCTGCTTTTTATATGTAATCCCGTTTCCAACGAAATCCTCAAAGCTAGACAAATATCCACTTGCAGATTCCACAAAAAGAGTGTTTCAAAACTGCTCTCTCAAAGGAAAGGTTCACCTCTGTTAGCTGAGTAGATACATCATGAAAAAGTTTCTGACATTGCTTCTATCTAGCTTTTATTGGAAGATATTTCCTTTTTCACTGTAGTCCTGAGAACGCTCCAAATGTCCACTTCCAGATACTACAAAAAGAGTGTTTCAAACCTGCACTATGAAAGGGACTGTTCAACACTGTGACTTCAATTGAAACATCCCAATGAAGCTTCTGAGAATGCTTCTGTCTAGAATTTATATGAAGACAATCCCGTTTCCAACGAAATCCTCAAAGCTATCCAAATATCCTCTTGCAGATTTTACAAAAAGTGTGTTTAAAAACTGCTCTATCAAAAGAAAGGTTCAACACTGTTAGTTGAGGGCGCACATCACAAATAAGATTCTGAGAATGCTGCTGTCTGCTTTTTATATGTAATCCCGTTTCCAACGAAATCCTCAAAGCTAGACAAATATCCACTTGCAGATTCCACAAAAAGAGTCTTTCAAAACTGCTCTATCAAAAGAATGCTTCAACACTGTTAGTTGAGGGCGCACATCACAAATAAGTTTCTGAGAATGCTTCTGTCTAGTTTTCAGGGGAAGATATTTCCTTTTTCACCATAGGCCTGAAAGCGCTCAAATGTCCACATCCAGATACTACAAAAAGAGTGTTTCAAACCTGCTCTATGAAAGGGACTGTTCAACATTGTGACTTCAATTGAAACATCCCCATGATGCTTCTGAGAATGCTTCTGTCTAGAGTTTATATGAAGACAATCCCGTTTCCAACGAAATCCTCAAAGCTATCCAAATATCCTCTTGCAGATTTTACAAAAAGAGTGTTTCAAAACTGCTCTATCAAAAGAAAGCTTCAACACTGTTAGTTGAGGGCGCACATCACAAATAAGATTCTGAGAATGCTTCTGTCTAGTTTTCTGTGGAAGATATTTCCTTTTTCACCATAGGCCTGAAAGCGCTCCAAATGTCCACATCCAGATACTACAAAAAGAGTGTTTCAAACCTGCTCTATGAAAGGGAATGTTCAACTCTGTGACTTGAATGCAAACATCACAAAGAAGTTTCTGGGAATGCTGCTGTCTGCTTTTTATATGTAATCCCGTTTCCAACGAAATCCTCAAAGCTAGACAAATATCCACTTGCAGATTCCACAAAAAGAGTGTTTCAAAACTGCTCTCTCAAAGGAAAGGTTCAACTCTGTTAGCTGAGTAGATACATCATGAAAAAGTTTCTGACATTGCTTCTATGTAGCTTTTATTGGAAGATATTTCCTTTTTCACCGTAGTCCTGAGAGCGCTCCAAATGTCCACTTCCAGATACTACAAAAAGAGTGTTTCAAACCTGCTCTATGAAAGGGACTGTTCAACACTGTGACTTCAATTGAAACATCCCAATGAAGCTTCTGAGAATGCTTCTGTCTAGAGTTTATAGGAAGACAATCCCGTTTCCAACGAAACCCTCAAAGCTATCCAAATATCCTCTTGCAGATTTTACAAAAAGAGTGTTTCAAAACTGCTCTATCAAAAGAAAGCTTCAACACTGTTAGTTGAGGGCGCACATCACAAATAAGATTCTGAGAATGCTTCTGTCTAGTTTTCAGGGGAAGATATTTCCTTTTTCACCATAGGGCTGAAAGCGCTCCAAATGTCCACATCCAGATACTACAAAAAGAGTGTTTCAAACCTGCTCTCTAAAAGGGAATGTTCAACTCTGTGACTTGAATGCAAACATCACAAAGAAGTTTCTGGGAATGCTTCTGTCTAGTTTTCAGGGGAAGATATTTCCTTTTTCACCATAGGCCTGAAAGCGCTCCAAATGTCCACATCCAGATACTACAAAAAGAGTGTTTCAAACCTGCTCTATGAAAGGGACTGTTCAACACTGTGACTTCAATTGAAACATCCCAATGAAGCATCTGAGAATGCTTCTGTCTAGAGTTTATATGAAGACAATCCCGTTTCCAAAGAAATCCTCAAAGCTATCCAAATATCCTCTAGCAGATTTTACAAAAAGAGTGTTTCAAAACTGCTCTATCAAAAGAAAGCTTCAACACTGTTAGTTGAGGGCGCACATCACAAATAAAATTCTGAGAATGCTTCTATCTAGCTTTTATTGGAAGATATTTCCTTTTTCACCATAGGCCTGAAAGCGCTCCAAATGTCCACATCCAGATACTACAAAAAGAGTGTTTCAAACCTGCTCTATGAAAGGGAATGTTCAACTCTGTGACTTGAATGCAAACCTCACAAAGAAGTTACTGGGAATGCTGCTGTCTGCTTTTTATATGTAATCCCGTTTCCAACGAAATCCTCAAAGCTAGACAAATATCCACTTGCAGATTCCACAAAAAGAGTGTTTCAAAACTGCTCTCTCAAAAGAAAGGTTCAACTCTGTTAGCTGAGTAGATACATCATGAAAAAGTTTGTGACATTGCTTCTATGTAGCTTTTATTGGAAGATATTTCCTTTTTCACCATAGTCCTGAGAGCGCTCCAAATGTCCACTTCCAGATACTACAAAAAGAGTGTTTCAAACCTGTTCTATGAAAGGAAATGTTCAACACTGTGACTTCAATTGAAACATCCCAATGAAGCTTCTGAGAATGCTTCTGTCTAGAGTTTATATGAAGACAATCCCGTTTCCAACGAAATCCTCAAAGCTATCCAAATATCCTCTTGCAGATATTACAAAAAGAGTGTTTCAAAACTGCTCTATCAAAAGAAAGGTTCAACACTGTTAGTTGAGGGCGCACATCACAAATAAGTTTACTGAGAATGCTGCTGTCTGCTTTTTATATGTAATCCCGTTTCCAACGAAATCCTCAAAGCTAGACAAATATCCACTTGCAGATTCCACAAAAAGAGTGTTTCAAAACTGCTCTATCAAAAGAATGCTTCAACACTGTTAGTTGAGGGCGCACATCACAAATAAGTTTCTGAGAATGCTTCTGTCTAGTTTTCAGGGGAAGATATTTCCTTTTTCACCATAGGCCTGAAAGCGCTCCAAATGTCCACATCCAGATACTACAAAAAGAGTGTTTCAAACCTGCTCTATGAAAGGGACTGTTCAACACTGTGACTTCAATTGAAACATCCCAATGAAGCTTCCGAGAATGCTTCTGTCTAGAGTTTATATGAAGACAATCCCGTTTCCAATGAAATCCTCAAAGCTATCGAAATATCCTCTTGCAGATTTTACAAAAAGAGTGTTTCAAAACTGCTCTATCAAAAGAAAGCTTCAACACTGTTAGTTGAGGGCGCACATCACAAATAAGATTCTGAGAATGCTTCTGTCTAGTTTTCAGGGGAAGATATTTCCTTTTTCACCATAGGCCTGAAAGCGCTCCAAATGTCCACATCCAGATACTACAAAAAGAGTGTTTCAAACCTGCTCTATGAAAGGGAATGTTCAACTCTGTGACTTGAATGCAAACATCACAAAGAAGTTTCTGGGAATGCTGCTGTCTGCTTTTTATATGTAATCCCGTTTCCAACGAAATCCTCAAAGCTAGACAAATATCCACTTGCAGATTCCACAAAAAGAGTGTTTCAAAACTGCTCTCTCAAAAGAAAGGTTCAACTCTGTTAGCTGAGTAGACACATCATGAAAAAGTTTCTGACATTGCTTCTATCTAGCTTTTATTGGAAGCTATTTCCTTTTTCACCGTAGTCCTGAGATCTCTCCAAATGTCCACTTCCAGATACTACAAAAAGAGTGTTTCAAACCTGCTCTATGAAAGGGACTGTTCAACACTGTGACTTCAATTGAAACATCCCAATGAAGCTTCTGAGAATGCTTCTGTCTAGAGTTTATATGAAGACAATCCCGTTTCCAACGAAATCCTCAAAGCTATCCAAATATCCTCTTGCAGATTTTAGAAAAAGACTGTTTCAAAACTGCTCTATCAAAAGAAAGCTTCAACACTGTTAGTTGAGGGCGCACATCACAAATAAGATTCTGAGAATGCTGCTGTCTGCTTTTTATATGTAATCCCGTTTCCAACGAAATCCTCAAAGCTAGACAAATATCCACTTGCAGATTCCACAAAAAGAGTGTTTCAAAACTGCTCTATCAAAAGAAAGCTTCAACACTGTTAGTTGAGGGCGCACATCACAAATAAGTTTCTGAGAATGCTTCTGTCTAGTTTTCAGGGGAAGATATTTCCTTTTTCACCATAGGCCTGAAAGCGCTCGAAATGTCCACATCCAGATACTACAAAAAGAGTGTTTCAAACCTGCTCTATGAAAGGGACTGTTCAACACTGTGACTTCAATTGAAACATCCCAATGAAGCTTCTGAGAATGCTTCTGTCTAGAGTTTATATGAAGACAATCCCGTTTCCAACGAAATCCTCAAAGCTATCCAAATATCCACTTGCAGATATTACAAAAAGAGTGTTTCAAAACTGCTCTATCAAAAGAAAGCTTCAACACTGTTAGTTGAGGGCGCACATCACAAATAAGTTTCTGAGAATGCTTCTGTCTAGTTTTCAGGGGAAGATATTTCCTTTTTCACCATAGGCCTGAAAGCGCTCCAAATGTCCACATCCAGATACTTCAAAAAGAGTGTTTCAAACCTGCTCTATGAAAGGGAACGTTCAACTCCTGTGACTTGAATGCAAACATCAGAAAGAAGTTACTGGGAATGCTGCTGTCTGCTTTTTATATGTAATCCCGTTTCCAACGAAATCCTCAAAGCTAGACAAATATCCACTTGCAGATTCCACAAAAAGAGTGTTTCAAAACTGCTCTCTCAAAGGAAAGGTTCAACTCTGTTAGCTGAGTAGATACATCATGAAAAAGTTTCTGACATTGCTTCTATCTAGCTTTTATTGGAAGATATTTCCTTTTTCACCCTAGTCCTGAGAGCGCTCCAAATGTCCACTTCCAGATACTACAAAAAGAGTGTTTCAAACCTGTTCTATGAAAGGAACTGTTCAACACTGTGACTTCAATTGAAACATCCCAATGAAGCTTCTGGGAATGCTGCTGTCTGCTTTGTATAATTAATCCCGTTTCCAACGAAATCCTCAAAGCTATCCAAATATCCTCTTGCAGATATTACAAAAAGAGTGTTTCAAAACTGCTCTATCAAAAGAAAGCTTCAACACTGTTAGTTGAGGGCGCACATCACAAATAAGTTTCTGAGAATGCTGCTGTCTGCTTTTTATATGTAATCCCGTTTCCAACGAAATCCTCAAATTTAGACAAATATCCACTTCCAGATTCCACAAAAAGAGTGTTTCAAAACTGCTCTATCAAAAGAATGCTTCAGCACTGTTAGTTGAGGGCGCACATCACAAATAAGTTTCTGAGAATGCTTCTGTCTAGTTTTCAGGGGAAGATATTTCCTTTTAAACCATAGGCCTGAAAGCGCTCCAAATGTCCACATCCAGATACTACAAAAAGAGTGTTTCAAACCTGCTCTATGAAAGGGACTGTTCAACACTGTGACTTCAATTGAAACATCCCAATGACGCTTCTGAGAATGCTTCTGTCTAGAGTTTATATGAAGACAATCCCGTTTCCAACGAAATCCTCAAAGCTATCCAAATATCCTCTTGCAGATTTTACGAAAAGAGTGTTTCAAAACTGCTCTATCAAAAGAAAGCTTCAACACTGTTAGTTGAGGACGCACATCACAAATAAGATTCTGAGAATGCTTCTGTCTAGTTTTCAGGAGAAGATATTTCCTTTTTCACCATAGGCCTGAAAGCGCTCCAAATGTCCACATCCAGATACTACAAAAAGAGTGTTTCAAACCTGCTCTATGAAAGGGAATGTTCAACTCTGTGACTTGAATGCAAACATCACAAAGAAGATTCTGGGAATGCTGCTGTCTGCTTTTTATATGTAATCCCGTTTCCTACGAAATCCTCAAAGCTAGACAAATATCCACTTGCAGATTCCACAAAAAGAGTGTTTCAAAACTGCTCTCTCAAAAGAAAGGTTCAACTCTGTTAGCTGAGTAGATACATCATGAAAAAGGTTCTGACATTGCTTCTATCTAGCTTTTATTGGAAGATATTTCCTTTTTCACCGTAGTCCTGAGAGCGCTCCAAATGTCCACTTCCAGATACTGCAAAAAGAGTGTTTCAAACCTGCTCTATGAAAGGGACTGTTCAACACTGTGACTTCAATTGAAACATCCCAATGAAGCTTCTGAGAATGCTTCTGTCTAGAGTTTATATGAAGACAATCCCGTTTCCAACGAAATCCTCAAAGCTATCCAAATATCCTCTTGCAGATATTACAAAAAGAGTGTTTCAAAACTGCTCTATCAAAAGAAAGGTTCAACACTGTTAGTTGAGGGCGCACATCACAAATAAGTTTACTGAGAATGCTGCTGTCTGCTTTTTATATGTAATCCCGTTTCCAACGAAATCCTCAAAGCTAGACAAATATCCACTTGCAGATTCCACAAAAAGAGTGTTTCAAAACTGCTCTATCAAAAGAAAGCTTCAACACTGTTAGTTGAGGGCGCACATCACAAATAAGTTTCTGAGAATGCTTCTGTCTAGTTTTCAGGGGAAGATATTTCCTTTTTCACCATAGGCCTGAAAGCGCTCCAAATGTCCACATCCAGATACTACAAAAAGAGTGTTTCAAACCTGCTCTATGAAAGGGACTGTTCAACACTGTGACTTCAATTGAAACATCCCAATGAAGCTTCTGAGAATGCTTCTGTCTAGAGTTTATATGAAGACAATCCCGTTTCCAACGAAATCCTCAAAGCTATGCAAATATCCTCTTGCAGATTTTACAAAAAGAGTGTTTCAAAACTGCTCTATCAAAAGAAAGCTTCAACACTGTTAGTTGAGGGCGCACATCACAAATAAGATTCTGAGAATGCTTCTGTCTAGTTTTCAGGGGAAGATATTTCCTTTTTCACCATAGGCCTGAAAGCGCTCCAAATCTCCACATCCAGATACTACAAAAAGACTGTTTCAAACCTGCTCTATGAAAGGGAATGTTCAACTCTGTGACTTGAATGCAAACATCACAAAGAAGTTTCTGGGAATGCTGCTGTCTGCTTTTTATATGTAATCCCGTTTCCAACGAAATCCTCAAAGCTAGACAAATATCCACTTGCAGATTCCACCAAAAGAGTGTTTCAAAACTGCTCTCTCAAAAGAAAGTTTCAACTCTGTTAGCTGAGTAGATACATCATGAAAATGTTTCTGACATTGCTTCTATCTAGCTTTTATTGGAAGATATTTCCCTTTTCACCGTAGTCCTGAGAACGCTCCAAATGTCCACTTCCAGATACTACAAAAAGAGTGTTTCAAACCTGCTCTATGAAAGGGACTGTTCAACACTGTGACTTCAATTGAAACATCCCAATGAAGCTTCTGAGAATGCTGCTGTCTGCTTTGTATAATTAATCCCGTTTCCAACGAAATCCTCAAAGCTATCCAAATATCCTCTTGCAGATATTACAAAAAGAGTGTTTCAAAACTGCTCTATCAAAAGAAAGCTTCAACACTGTTAGTTGAGGGCGCACATCACAAATAAGTTTCTGAGAATGCTGCTGTCTGCTTTTTATATGTAATCCCGTTTCCAACGAAATCCTCAAAGCTAGACAAATATCCACTTGCAGATTCCACAAAAAGAGTGTTTCAAAACTGCTCTATCAAAAGAATGCTTCAACACTGTTAGTTGAGGGCGCACATCACAAATAAGTTTCTGAGAATGCTTCTGTCTAGTTTTCAGGGGAAGATATTTCCTTTTAAACCATAGGCCTGAAAGCGCTCCAAATGTCCACATCCAGATACTACAAAAAGAGTGTTTCAAACCTGCTCTATGAAAGGGACTGTTCAACACTGTGACTTCAATTGAAACATCCTAATGACGCTTCTGAGAATGCTTCTGTCTAGAGTTTATATGAAGACAATCCCGTTTCCAACGAAATCCTCAAAGCTATCCAAATATCCTCTTGCAGATTTTACAAAAAGAGTGTTTCAAAACTGCTCTATCAAAAGAAAGCTTCAACACTGTTAGTTGAGGGCGCACATCACAAATAAGATTCTGAGAATGCTTCTGCCTAGTTTTCAGGGGAAGATATTTCCTTTTTCACCATAGGCCTGAAAGCGCTCCAAATGTCCACATCCAGATACTACAAAAAGAGTGTTTCAAACCTGCTCTATGAAAGGGAATGTTCAACTCTGTGACTTGAATGCAAACTGTCACAAAGAAGTTACTGGGAATGCTGCTGTCTGCTTTTTATATGTAATCCCGTTTCCAACGAAATCCTCAAAGCTAGACAAATATCTACTTGCAGATTCCACAAAAAGAGTATTTCAAAACTGCTCTATCAAAAGAATGCTTCAACACTGTTAGTTGAGGGCGCACATCACAAATAAGTTTCTGAGAATGCTTCTGTCTAGTTTTCAGGGGAAGATATTTCCTTTTAAACCATAGGCCTGAAAGCGCTCCAAATGTCCACATCCAGATACTACAAAAAGAGTGTTTCAAACCTGCTCTATGAAAGGGACTGTTCAATACTGTGACTTCAATTGAAACATCCCAATGAAGCTTCTGAGAATGCTTCTGTCTAGATTTTAGATGAAGACAATCCCGTTTCCAACGAAATCCTCAAAGCTATCCAAATATCCTCTTGCAGATTTTACAAAAAGAGTGTTTCAAAACTACTCTATCAATAGAAAGGTTTAACACTGTTAGTTGTGGGAGCACATCACAAATAAGTTTCTGAGAATGCTTCTGTCTAGCTTTCAGGGGAAGATATTTCCTTTTTCACCATAGGCCTGAAAGCGCTCCAAATGTCCACATCCAGATACTACAAAAAGAGTGTTTCAAACCTGCTCTATGAAAGGGAATGTTCAAGTCTGTGACTTGAATGCAAATATCACCAAGAAGTTTGTGAGAATGCTGCTGTCTGCTTTTTCTATGTAATCCCGTTTCCAACGAAATCCTCAAAGCTAGACAAATATCCACTTGCAGATTCCACAAAAAGAGTGTTTCAAAACTGCTCTCTCAAAAGAAAGGTTCAACTCTGTTAGCTGAGTAGATACATCATGAAAAAGTTTCTGACATTGCTTCTATCTAGCTTTTATTGGAAGATATTTCCTTTTTCACCGCAGTCCTGAGAGCGTTCCAAATGTCCACTTCCAGATACTACAAAAAGAGTGTTTCAAACCTGCTCTATGAAAGGGACTGTTCAACACTGTGACTTCAATTGAAACATCCCAATGAAGCTTCTGAGAATGCTTCTGTCTAGAGTTTATATGAAGACAATCCCGTTTCCAACGAAATCCTCAAAGCTATCCAAATATCCTCTTGCAGATTTTACAAAAAGAGTGTTTCAAAACTGCTCTATCAAAAGAAAGCTTCAACACTGTTAGTTGAGGGCGCACATCACAAATAAGTTTCTGAGAATGCTTCTGTCTAGTTTTCAAGGGAAGATATTTCCTTTTTCACCATACGCCTGAAAGCGCTCCAAATGTCCACATCCAGATACTACAAAAAGAGTGTTTCAAACCTGCTCTATGAAAGGGAATGTTCAACTCTGTGACTTGAATGCAAACATCACAAAGAAGTTTCTGGGAATGCTGCTGTCTGCTTTTTATATGTAATCCCGTTTCCAACGAAATCCTCAAAGCTAGACAAATATCCACTTGCAGATTCCTTAAAAAGAGTGTTTCAAAACTGCTCTCTCAAAGGAAAGGTTCAACTCTGTTAGCTGAGTAGATACATCATGAAAAAGTTTCTCACATTGCTTCTATGTAGCTTTTATTGGAAGATATTTCCTTTTTCACCGTAGTACTGTGATCGCTCCAAATGTCCACTTCCAGATACTACAAAAAGAGTGTTTCAAACCTGCTCTATGAAAGGGACTGTTCAACACTGTGACTTCAATTGAAACATCCAATGAAGCTTCTGAGAATTCTGCTGTCTGCTTTGTATAATTAATCCCGTTTCCAACGAAATCCTCAAAGCTATCCAAATATCCTCTTGCAGATATTACAAAAAGAGTGTTTCAAAACTGCTCTATCAAAAGAAAGCTTCAACACTGTTAGTTGAGGGCGCACATCACAAATAAGTTTCTGAGAATGCTGCTGTCTGCTTTTTATAATTAATCCCGTTTCCAACGAAATCCTCAAAGCTATCCAAATATCCTCTTGCAGATATTACAAAAAGAGTGTTTCAAAACTGCTCTATCAAAAGAAAGCTTCAACACTGTTAGTTGAGGGCGCACATCACAAATAAGTTTCTGAGAATGCTTCTGTCTAGTTTTCAGGGGAAGATATTTCCTTTTTCACCATAGGCCTGAAAGCGCTCCAAATGTCCACATCCAGATACTACAAAAAGAGTGTTTCAAACCTGCTCTATGAAAGGGACTGTTCAACACTGTGACTTCAATTGAAACATCCCAATGAAGCTTCTGAGAATGCTTCTGTCTAGAGTTTATATGAAGACAATCCCGTTTCCAACGAAATCCTCAAAGCTATCCAAATATCCTCTTGCAGATTTTACAAAAAGAGTGTTTCAAAACTGCTCTATCGAAAGAAAGCTTCAACACTGTTAGTTGAGTGCGCACATCACAAATAAGATTACTGAGAATGCTTCCGTCTAGTTTTCAGGGGAAGATATTTCCTTTTTCACCATAGGCCTGAAAGCGCTCCAAATGTCCACATACAGATACTACAAAAAGAGTGTTTCAAACCTGCTCTCTGAAAGGGAATGTTCAACTCTGTGACTTGAATGCAAACATCACAAAGAAGTTTCTGGGAATGCTGCTGTCTGCTTTTTATATGTAATCCCGTTTCCAACGAAATCCTCAAAGCTAGACAAATATCCACTTCCAGATTCCACAAAAAGAGTGTTTCAAAACTGCTGTCTCAAAAGAAAGGTTCAACTGCTGTTAGCTGAGTAGATACATCATGAAAAAGTTTCTGACATTGCTTCTCTCTAGCTTTTATTGGAAGATATTTCCTTTTTCACCATAGTCCTGAGAACGCTCCAAATGTCCACTTCCAGATATTACAAAAAGAGTGTTTCAAACCTGCTCTACGAAAGGGACTGTTCAACACTGTGACTTCAATTGAAACATCCCAATGAAGCTTCTGAGAATGCTTATGTCTAGAGTTTATATGAAGACAATCCCGTTTCCAACGAAATCCTGAAAGCTATCCAAATATCCTCTTGCAGATATTACAAAAAGAGTGTTTCAAAACTGCTCTATCAAAAGAAAGCTTCAACACTGTTAGTTGAGGGCGCCCATCACAAATAAGTTTCGGAGAATGCTTAGCTGTCTGCTTTTTATATGTAATCCCGTTTCCAACGAAATCCTCAAAGCTAGACAAATATCCACTTGCAGATTCCACAAAAAGAGTGTTTCAAAACTGCTCTATCAAAAGAATGCTTCAACACTCTTACTTGAGGGCGCACATCACAAATAAGTTTCTGAGAATGCTTCTGTCTAGTTTTCAGGGGAAGATATTTCCTTTTAAACCATAGGCCTGAAAGCGCTCCAAATGTCCACATCCAGATACTACAAAAAGAGTGTTTCAAACCTGCTCTATGAAAGGGACTGTTCAACACTGCAACTTCAATTGAAACATCCCAATGAAGCTTCTGAGAATGCTTCTGTCTAGAGTTTATATGAAGACAATCCCGTTTCCAACGAAATCCTCAAAGCTATCCAAATATCCTCTTGCAGATTTTACAAAAAGAGTGTTTCAAAACTGCTCTATCAAAAGAAAGCTTCAACACTGTTAGTTGAGGGCGCACATCACAAATAAGATTCTGAGAATGCTTCTGTCTAGTTTTCAGGGGAAGATATTTCCTTTTTCACCATAGGCCTCAGAGCGCTCCAAATGTCCACATCCAGATACTACAAAAAGAGTGTTTCAAACCTGCTCTATGAAAGGGAATGTTCAACTCTGTGACTTGAATGCAAACATCACAAAGAAGTTTCTGGGAATGCTGCTGTCTGCTTTTTATATGTAATCCCGTTTCCAACGAAATCCTCAAAGCTAGACAAATATCCACTTGCAGATTCCACAAAAAGAGTGTTTCAAAACTGCTCTCTCAAAAGAAAGGTTCAACTCTGTTAGCTGAGTAGATACATCATGAAAAAGTTTCTGACATTGCTTCTATCTAGCTTTTATTGGAAGATATTTCCTTCATCACCGTATTCCTGAGATCTCTCCAAATGTCCACTTCCAGATACTACAAAAAGAGTGTTTCAAACCTGCTCTATGAAAGGGACTGTTCAACACTGTGACTTCAATTGAAACATCCCAATGAAGCTTCTGAGAATGCTTCTGTCTAGAGTTTATATGAAGACAATCCCGTTTCCAACGAAATCCTCAAAGCTATCCAAATATCCACTTGCAGATTTTACAAAAAGAGTGTTTCAAAACTGCTCTATCAAAAGAAAGCTTCAACACTGTTAGTTGAGGGCCCACATCACAAATAAGATTCTGAGAATGCTGCTGTCTGCTTTTTATATGTAATCCCGTTTCCAACGAAATCCTCAAAGCTAGACAAATATCCACTTGCAGATTCCACAAAAAGAGTGTTTCAAAACTGCTCTATCAAAAGAAAGCTTCAACACTGTTAGTTGAGGGCGCACATCACAAATAAGTTTCTGAGAATGCTTCTGTCTAGTTTTCAGGGGAAGATATTTCCTTTTAAACCGTAGGCCTGAAAGCGCTCCAAATGTCCACATCCAGATACTACAAAAAGAGTGTTTCAAACCTGCTCTATGAAAGGGACTGTTCAACACTGTGACTTCAATTGAAACATCCCAATGAAGCTTCTGAGAATGCTTCTGTCTAGAGTTTATATGAAGACAATCCCGTTTCCAACGAAATCCTCAAAGCTATCCAAATATCCTCTTGCAGATATTACAAAAAGAGTGTTTCAAAACTGCTCTATCAAAAGGAAGCTTCAACACTGTTAGTTGAGGGCGCACATCACAAATAAGTTTCTGAGAATGCTTCTGTCTAGTTTTCAGGGGAAGATATTTCCTTTTTCACCATAGGCCTGAAAGCCCTCAAAATGTCCACATCCAGATACTACAAAAAGAGTGTTTCAAACCTGCTCTATGAAAGGGAATATTCAACTCTGTGACTTGAATGCAAACATCACAAAGAAGTTTCTGGGAATGCTTCTGTCTAGAGTTTATATGAAGACAATCCCGTTTCCAACGAAATCCTCAAAGCTAGACAAATATCCACTTGCAGATTCCACAAAAAGAGTGTTTCAAAACTGCTCTCTCAAAGGAAGGTTCAGTTCAACTCTGTTAGCTGAGTAGATACATCATGAAAAAGTTTCTGACATTGCTTCTATCTAGCTTTTATTGGAAGATAGTTCCTTTTTCACCGCAGTCCTGAGAGCGCTCCAAATGTCCACTTCCAGATACTACAAAAAGAGTGTTTCAAACCTGCTCTATGAAAGGGACTGTTCAACACTGTGACTTCAATTGAAACATCCCAATGAAGCTTCTGAGAATGCTTCTGTCTAGAGTTTATATGAAGACAATCCCGTTTCCAACGAAATCCTCAAAGCTATCCAAATATCCTCTTGCAGATATTACAAAAAGAGTGTTTCAAAACTGCTCTATCAAAAGAAAGGTTCAACACTGTTAGTTGAGGGCGCACATCACAAATAAGTTTACTGAGAATGCTGCTGTCTGCTTTTTATATGTAATCCCGTTTCCAACGAAATCCTCAAAGCTAGACAAATATCCACTTGCAGATTCCACAAAAAGAGTGTTTCAAAACTGCTCTATCAAAAGAAAGCTTCAACACTGTTAGTTGAGGGCGCACATCACAAATAAGTTTCTGAGAATGCTTCTGTCTAGTTTTCAGGGGAAGATATTTCCTTTTAAACCATAGGCCTGAAAGCGCTCCAAATGTCCACATCCAGATACTACAAAAAGAGTGTTTCAAACCTGCTCTATGAAAGGGACTGTTCAACACTGTGACTTCAATTGAAACATCCCAATGACGCTTCTGAGAATGCTTCTGTCTAGAGTTTATATGAAGACAATCCCGTTTCCAACGAAATCCTCAAAGCTATCCAAATATCCTCTTGCAGATATTACAAAAAGAGTGTTTCAAAACTGCTCTATCAAAAGAAAGCTTCAACACTGTTAGTTGAGGGCGCACATCACAAATAAGTTTCTGAGAATGCTTCTGTCTAGTTTTCAGGGGAAGATATTTCCTTTTTCACCATAGGCCTGAAAGCGCTCCAAATGTCCACATCCAGATACTACAAAAAGAGTGTTTGAAACCTGCTCTATGAAAGGGAATGTTCAACTCTGTGACTTGAATGCAAACATCACAAAGAAGTTACTGGGAATGCTGCTGTCTGCTTTTTATATGTAATCCCGTTTCCAACGAAATCCTCAAACCTAGACAAATATCCACTTGCAGATTCCACAAAAAGAGTGTTTCAAAACTGCTCTCTCAAAAGAAAGGTTCAACTCTGTTAGCTGAGTAGATACATCATGAAAAAGTTTCTGACATTGCTTCTATCTAGCTTTTATTGGAAGATATTTCCTTTATCACCGTATTCCTTAGATCTCTCCAAATGTCCACTTCCAGATCCTACAAAAAGAGTGTTTCAAACCTGCTCTATGAAAGGGACTGTTAAACACTGTGACTTCAATTGAAACATCCCAATGAAGCTTCTGAGAATGCTTCTGTCTAGAGTTTATATGAAGACAATCCCGTTTCCAGCGAAATCCTCAAAGCTATCCAAATATCCTCTTGCAGATTTTACAAAAAGAGTGTTTCAAAACTGCTCTATCAAAAGAAAGGTTCAACACTGCTAGTTGAGGGCGCACATCACAAATAAGATTCTGAGAATGCTGCTGTCTGCTTTTTATATGTAATCCCGTTTCCAACGAAATCCTCAAAGCTAGACAAATATCCACTTGCAGATTCCACAAAAAGAGTGTTTCAAAACTGCTCTATCAAAAGAATGCTTCAACACTGTTAGTTGAAGGCGCACATCACAAATAAGTTTCTGAGAATGCTTCTGTCTAGTTTTCAGGGGAAGATATGTCCTTTTAAACCATAGGCCTGAAAGCGCTCCAAATGTCCACATCCAGATACTACAAAAAGAGTGTTTCAAACCTGCTCTATGAAAGGGACTGTTCAACACTGTGACTTCAATTGAAACATCCCAATGACGCTTCTGAGAATGCTTCTGTGTAGAGTTTATATGAAGACAATCCCGTTTCCAACGAAATCCTCAAAGGTATCCAAATATCCTCTTGCAGATTTTACAAAAAGAGTGTTTCAAAACTGCTCTATCAAAAGAAAGCTTCAACACTGTTAGTTGAGGGCGCACATCACAAATAAGATTCTGAGAATTCTTCTGTCTAGTTTTCAGGGGAAGATATTTCCTTTTTCACCTTAGGCCTGAAAGCGCTGCAAATGTCCACATCCAGATACTACAAAAAGAGTGTTTGAAACCTGCTCTATGAAAGGGAATGTTCAACTCTGTGACTTGAATGCAAATATCACAAAGAAGATTCTGGGAATGCTGCTGTCTGCTTTTTATATGTAATCCCGTTTCCAACGAAATCCTCAAAGCTAGACAAATATCCACTTGCAGATTCCACAAAAAGAGTGTTTCAAAACTGCTCTCTCAAAGGAAAGGTTCAACTCTGTTAGCTGAGTAGATACATCATGAAAAAGTTTCTGACATTGCTTCTATCTAGCTTTTATTGGAAGATATTTCCTTTATCACCGTATTCCTGAGATCTCTCCACATGTCCACTTCCAGATACTACAAAAAGAGTGTTTCAAACCTGCTCTATGAAAGGGACTGTTCAACACTGTGACTTCAATTGAAACATCCCAATGAAGCTTCTGAGAATGCTTCTGTCTAGAGTTTATATGAAGACAATCCCGTTTCCAACGAAATCCTCAAAGCTGTCCAAATATCCTCTTGCAGATATTACAAAAAGAGTGTTTCAAAACTGCTCTATCAAAAGAAAGCTTCAACACTGTTAGTTGAGGGCGCACATCACAAATAAGTTTCTGAGAATGCTTCTGTCTAGTTTTCAGGGGAAGATATTTCCTTTTTCACCTTAGGCCTGAAAGCGCTCCAAATGTCCACTTCCAGATACTACAAAAAGAGTGTTTCAAACCTGCTCTATGAAAGGGAATGTTCAACTCTGTGACTTGAATGCAAACATCACAAAGAAGTTACTGGGAATGCTGCTGTCTGCTTTTTATATGTAATCCCGTTTCCATCGAAATCCTCAAAGCTAGACAAATATCCACTTGCAGATTCCACAAAAAGAGTGTTTCAAAACTGCTCTATCAAAAGAAAGCTTCAACACTGTTAGTTGAGGGCGCACAACACAAATAAGTTTCTGAGAATGCTTTTGTCTAGTTTTCAGGGGAAGATATTTCCTTTTTCACCTTAGGCCTGAAAGCGCTGCAAATGTCCACATCCAGATACTACAAAAAGAGTGTTTCAAACCTGCTCTATGAAAGGGAATGTTCAACTCTGTGACTTGAATGCAAACATCACAAAGAAGTTTCTGGGAATGCTGCTGTCTGCTTTTTATATGTAATCCCGTTTCCAACGAAATCCTCAAAGCTAGACAAATATCCACTTGCAGATTCCACAAAAAGAGTGTTTCAAAACTGCTCTCTCAAAAGAAAGGTTCAACTCTGTTAGCTGAGTAGATACATCATGAAAAAGTTTCTGACATTGCTTCTATGTAGCTTTTATTGGAAGATATTTCCTTTTTCACCATAGTCCTGAGAGCGCTCCAAATGTCCACTTCCAGATACTACAAAAAGAGTGTTTCAAACCTGTTCTATGAAAGGAACTGTTCAACACTGTGACTTCAATTGAAACATCCCAATGAAGCTTCTGAGAATGCTTCTGTCTAGAGTTTATATGAAGACAATCCCGTTTCCAACGAAATCCTCAAAGCTATCCAAATATCCTCTTGCAGATATTACAAAAAGAGTGTTTCAAAACTGCTCTATCAAAAGAAAGGTTCAACACTGTTAGTTGAGGGCGCACATCACAAATAAGTTTCTGAGAATGCTTCTGTCTAGTTTTCAGGGGAAGATATTTCCTTTTTCACCATAGGCCTGAAAGCGCTTCAAATGTCCACATCCAGATACTACAAAAAGAGTGTTTCAAACCTGCTCTATGAAAGGGAATGTTCAAGTCTGTGACTTGAACGCAAATTTCACAAAGAACTTTCTGGGAATGCTGCTGTCTGCTTTTTATATGTAATCCCGTTTCCAACGAAATCCTCAAAGCTAGACAAATATCCACTTGCAGATTCCACAAAAAGAGTGTTTCAAAACTGCTCTCTCAAAAGAAAGGTTCAACTCTTTTAGCTGAGTAGATACATCATGAAGAAGTTTCTGACATTGCTCCTATCTAGCTTTTATTGGAAGATATTTCCTTTTTCACCGTAGTCCTGAGAACGCTCCAAATGTCCACTTCCAGATGCTACAAAAAGAGTGTTTCAAACCTGCTCTAAGAAAGGGACTGTTCAACACTGTGACTTCAATTGAAACATCCCAATGAAGCTTCTGAGAATGCTACTGTCTAGGGTTAATATGAAGACAATCCCGTTTCCAACGAAATCCTCAAACCTATCCAAATATCCTCTTGCAGATTTTACAAAAAGAATGTTTCAAAACTGCTCTATCAAAAGAAAGCTTCAACACTGTTAGTTGAGGGCGCACATCACAAATAAGTTTCTGAGAATACTTCTGTCTAGTTTTCAGGGGAAGATATTTCCTTTTTCACCTTAGGCCTGAAAGCGCTGCAAATGTCCACATCCAGACACTACAAAAAGAGTGTTTCAAACCTGCTCTATGAAAGGGAATGTTCAACTCTGTGACTTGAATGCAAACATCACAAAGAAGTTTCTGGGAATGCCGCTGTCTGCTTTTTATATGTAATCTCGTTTCCAACGAAATCCTCAAAGCTAGACAAATATCCACTTGCAGATTCCACAAAAAGAGTGTTTCAAAACTGCTCTCTCAAAGGAAGGTTCAACTCTGTTAGCTGAGTAGATACATCATGAAAAAGTTTCTGACATTGCTTCTATCTAGCTTTTATTGGAAGATATTTCCTTTTTCACCGTAGTCCTGAGAGCGCTCCAAATGTCCACTTCCAGATACTACAAAAAGAGTGTTTCAAACCTGCTCTATGAAAGGGACTGTTCAACACTGTGACTTCAATTGAAACATCCCAATGAAGCTTCTGAGAATGCTTCTGTCTAGTTTTCAGGAGAAGATATTTCCTTTTTCACCATAGGCCTGAAAGCGCTCCAAATGTCCACATCCAGATACTATAAAAAGAGTGTTTCAAACCTGCTCTCTGAAAGGGAATGTTCAACTCTGTGACTTGAATGCAAACATCACAAACAAGTTTCTGGGAATGCTGCTGTCTGCTTTTTATATGTAATCCCGTTTCAAACGAAATTCTCAAAGCTAGACAAATATCCACTTGCAGATTCCACAAAAAGAGTGTTTCAAAACTGCTCTATCAAAAGAAAGCTTCAACACTGTTAGTTGAGGGCGCACATCACAAATAAGTTTCTGAGAATGCTTCTGTCTAGTTTTCAGGGGAAGATATTTCCTTTTTCACCTTAGGCCTGAAAGCGCTGCAAATGTCCACATCCAGACACTACAAAAAGAGTGTTTCAAACCTGCTCTATGAAAGGGAATGTTCAACTCTGTGACTTGAATGCAAACATCACAAAGAAGTTTCTGGGAATGCCGCTGTCTGCTTTTTATATGTAATCTCGTTTCCAACGAAATCCTCAAAGCTAGACAAATATCCACTTGCAGATTCCACAAAAAGAGTGTTTCAAAACTGCTCTCTCAAAGGAAGGTTCAACTCTGTTAGCTGAGTAGATACATCATGAAAAAGTTTCTGACATTGCTTCTATCTAGCTTTTATTGTAGATATTTCCTTTTTCACCGCAGTCCTGAGAGCGCTCCAAATGTCCACTTCCAGATACTACAAAAAGAGTGTTTCAAACGTGCTCTATGAAAGGGACTGTTCAACACTGTGACTTCAATTGAAACATCCCAATGAAGCTTCTGAGAATGCTTCTGTCTAGAGTTTATATGAAGACAATCCCGTTTCCAACGAAATCCTCAAAGCTATCCAAATATCCTCTTGCAGATATTACAAAAAGAGTGTTTCAAAACTGCTCTATCAAAAGAAAGGTTCAACACTGTTAGTTGAGGGCGCACATCACAAATAAGTTTACTGAGAATGCTGCTGTCTGCTTTTTATATGTAATCCCGTTTCCAACGAAATCCTCAAAGCTAGACAAATATCCACTTGCAGATTCCACAAAAAGAGTGTTTCAAAACTGCTCTATCAAAAGAAAGCTTCAACACTGTTAGTTGAGGGCGCACATCACAAATAAGTTTCTGAGAATGCTTCTGTCTAGTTTTCAGGGGAAGATATTTCCTTTTTCACCTTAGGCCTGAAAGCGCTGCAAATGTCCACATCCAGATACTACAAAAAGAGTGTTTCAAACCTGCTCTATGAAAGGGAATGTTCAACTCTGTGACTTGAATGCAAACATCACAAAGAAGTTTCTGGGAATGCCGCTGTCTGCTTTTTATATGTAATCCCGTTTCCAACGAAATCCTCAAAGCTAGACAAATATCCACTTGCAGATTCCACAAAAAGAGTGTTTCAAAACTGCTCTCTCAAAAGAAAGGTTCAACTCTGTTAGCTGAGTAGATACATCATGAAAAAGTTTCTGACATTGCTTCTATCTAGCTTTTATTGGATGATATTTCCTTTATCACCGCATTCCTGAGATCTCTCCAAATGTCCACTTCCAGATACTACAAAAAGAGTGTTTCAAACCTGCTCTATGAAAGGGACTGTTCAACACTGTGACTTCAATTGAAACATCCCAATGAAGCTTCTGAGAATGCTTCTGTCTAGAGTTTATATGAAGACAAACCCGTTTCCAACGAAATCCTCAAAGCTATCCAAATATCCTCTTGCAGATATTACAAAAAGAGCGTTTCAAAACTGCTCTATCAAAAGAAAGCTTCAACACTGTTAGTTGAGGGCGCACATCACAAATAAGTTTCTGAGAATGCTTCTGTCTAGATTGTATATGAAGACAATCCCGTTTCCAACGAAATCCTCAAAGCTATCCAAATATCCTCTTGCAGATTTTACAAAAAGAGTGTTTCAAAACTGCTCTATCAAAAGAAAGCTTCAACACTGTTAGTTGAGGGTGCACATCACAAATAAGTTTCTGAGAATGCTTCTGTCTAGTTTTCAGGGGAAGATATTTCCTTTTTCACCGTAGTCCTGAGAGCGCTCCAAATGTCCACTTCCAGATACTACAAAAAGAGTGTTTCAAACCTGCTCTATGAAAGGGACTGTTCAACACTGTGACTTCAATTGAAACATCCCAATGAAGCTTCTGAGAATGCTTCTGTCTAGAGTTTATATGAAGACAATCCCGTTTCCAACGAAATCCTCAAAGCTATCCAAATATCCTCTTGCAGATTTTACAAAAAGAGTGTTTCAAAACTGCTCTATCAAAAGAAAGCTTCAACACTGTTAGTTGAGGGCGCACATCACAAATAAGATTCTGAGAAAGCTTCTGTCTAGTTTTCAGGGGAAGATATTTCCTTTTTCACCATAGGCCTGAAAGCGCTCCAAATGTCCACATCCAGATACTACAAAAAGAGTGTTTCAAACCTGCTCTATGAAAGGGAATGTTCAACTCTGTGACTTGAATGCAAACATCACAAAGAAGATTCTGGGAATGCTGCTGTCTGCTTTTTATATGTAATCCCGTTTCCAACGAAATCCTCAAAGCTAGACAAATATCCACTTGCAGATTCCACAAAAAGAGTGTTTCAAAACTGCTCTCTCAAAAGAAAGGTTCAACTCTGTTAGCTGAGTAGATACATCATGAAAAAGTTTCTGACATTGCTTCTATCTAGCTTTTATTGGAAGATATTTCCTTTTTCACCGTAGTCCTGAGATCTCTCCAAATGTCCACTTCCAGATACTACAAAAAGAGTGTTTAAAACCTGCTCTATGAAAGGGACTGTTCAACACTGTGACTTCAATTGAAACATCCCAATGAAGCTTCTGAGAATGCTTCTTTCTAGAGTTTATATGAAGACAATCCCGTTTCCAACGAAATCCTCAAAGCTATCCAAATATTCTCTTGCAGATATTACAAAAAGAGTGTTTCAAAACTGCTCTATCAAAATAAAGCTTCAACACTGTTAGTTGAGGGCGCACATCACAAATAAGTTTCTGAGAATGCTGCTGTCTGCTTTTTATATGTAATCCCGTTTCCAACGAAATCCTCAAAGCTAGACAAATATCCACTTGCAGATTCCACAAAAAGAGTGTTTCAAAACTGCTCTATCAAAAGAAAGCTTCAACACTGTTAGTTGAGGGCGCACATCACAAATAAGTTTCTGAGAATGCTTCTCTGTAGTTTTCAGGGGAAGATATTTCCTTTTTCACCTTAGACCTGAAAGCGCTGTAAATGTCCACATCCAGATACTACAAAAAGAGTGTTTCAAACCTGCTCTATGAAAGGGAATGTTCAACTCTGTGACTTGAATGCAAACATCACAAAGAAGTTTCTGGGAATGCCGCTGTCTGCTTTTTATATGTAATCCCGTTTCCAACGAAATCCTCAAAGCTAGACAAATATCCACTTGCAGATTCCACAAAAAGAGTGTTTCAAAACTGCTCTCTCAAAAGAAAGGTTCAACTCTGTTAGCTGAGTAGATACATCATGAAAAAGTTTCTGACATTGCTTCTATCTAGCTTTTATTGGAAGATATTTCCTTTATCACCGTATTCCTGAGATCTCTCCAAATGTCCACTTCCAGATCCTACAAAAAGAGTGTTTCAAACCTGCTCTATGAAAGGGACTGTTAAACACTGTGACTTCAATTGAAACATCCCAATGAAGCTTCTGAGAATGCTTCTTTCTAGAGTTTATATGAAGACAATCCCGTTTCCAACGAAATCCTCAAAGCTATCCAAATATTCTCTTGCAGATATTACAAAAAGAGTGTTTCAAAACTGCTCTATCAAAATAAAGCTTCAACACTGTTAGTTGAGGGCGCACATCACAAATAAGTTTCTGAGAATGCTGCTGTCTGCTTTTCATATGTAATCCCGTTTCCAACGAAATCCTCAAAGCTAGACAAATATCCACTTGCAGATTCCACAAAAAGAGTGTTTCAAAACTGCTCTATCAAAAGAATGCTTCAACACTGTTAGTTGAGGGCGCACATCACAAATAAGATTCTGAGAATGCTTCTGTCTAGTTTTCAGGAGAAGATATTTCCTTTTTCACCGTATTCCTGAGATCTCTCCAAATGTCCACTTCCAGATACTACAAAAAGAGTGTTTCAAACCTGCTCTATGAAAGGGACTGTTCAACACTGTGACTTCAATTGAAACATCCCAATGAAGCTTCTGAGAATGCTTCTGTCTAGAGTTTATTTGAAGACAATCCCGTTTCCAATGAAATCCTCAAAGCTATGCAAATATCCTCTTGCAGATTTTACAAAAAGAGTGTTTCAAATCTGCTCTATCAAAAGAAAGCTTCAACACTGTTAGTTGAGGGCGCACATCACAAATAAGATTCTGAGAATGCTTCTGTCTAGTTTTCAGGAGAAGATATTTCCTTTTTCACCATAGGCCTGAAAGCGCTCCAAATGTCCACATCCAGATACTATAAAAAGAGTGTTTCAAACCTGCTCTCTGAAAGGGAATGTTGAACTCTGTGACTTGAATGCAAACATCACAAAGAAGATTCTGGGAATGCTGCTGTCTGCTTTTTATATGTAATCCCGTTTCCAACGAAATCCTCAAAGCTAGACAAATATCCTCTTGCAGATTCCACAAAAAGAGTGTTTCAAAACTGCTCTATCAAAAGAAAGCTTCAACACTGTTAGTTGAGGGCGCACATCACAAATAAGTTTCTGAGAATGCTTCTGTCTAGTTTTCAGGGGAAGATATTTCCTTTTAAACCATAGGCCTGAAAGCGCTCCAAATGTCCACATCCAGATACTACAAAAAGAGTGTTTCAAACCTGCTCTATGAAAGGGACTGTTCAACACTGTGACTTCAATTGAAACATCCCAATGACGCTTCTGAGAATGCTTCTGTCTAGAGTTTATATGAAGACAATCCCGTTTCCAAAGAAATCCTCAAAGCTATCCAAATATCCTCTTGCAGATTTTACAAAAAGAGTGTTTCAAAACTGCTCTATCAAAAGAAAGCTTCAACACTGTTAGTCGAGGGCGCACATCACAAATAAGATTCTGAGAATGCTTCTGTCTAGTTTTCAGGGGAAGATATTTCCTTTTTCACCATAGGCCTGAAAGCGCTCCAAATGTCCACATCCAGATACTACAAAAAGAGTGTTTCAAACCTCCTCTATGGAAGGGAATGTTGAAGTCTGTGACTTGAATGCAAATATCACAAAGAAGTTTCTGGGAATGCTGCTGTCTGCTTTTTATATGTAATCCCGTTTCCAACGAAATCCTCAAACCTAGACCAATATCCACTTGCAGATTCCACAAAAAGAGTGTTTCAAAACTGCTCTCTCAAAAGAAAGGTTAAATTCTGTTAGCTGAGTAGATACATCATGAAAAATTTTCTGACATTGCTTCTATCTAGCTTTATTTGGAAGATATTTCCTTTTTCACCGTAGTCCTGAAAACGCTCCAAATGTCAACTTCCAGATACTACAAAAAGAGTGTTTCAAACATGCTCTATGAAAGGGACTGTTCAACACTGTGACTTCAATTGAAACATCCCAATGAAGCTTCTGAGAATGCTTCTGTCTAGATTTTATATGAAGACAATCCCGTTTCCAAAGAAATCCTCAAAGCTATCAAAATATCCTCTTGCAGATTTTACAAAGAGTGTTTCAAAACTACTCTATCAAAAGAAAGGTTTAACACTGTTAGTTGAGGGCGCACATCACAAATAAGTTTCTGAGAACGCTTCTGTCTAGTTTTCAGGGGAAGATATTTCCTTTTTCACCATAGGCCAGAAAGCCCTCCAAATGTTCACATCCAGATACTACAAAAAGAGTGTTTCAAACCTGCTCTATGAAAGGGGATGTTCAACTCTGTGACTTGAATGCAAACTTCACAAAGAAGTTTCTGGGAATGCTGCTGTCTGCTTTTTATATGTAATCCCGTTTCCAACGAAATCCTCAAAGCTAGACAAATATCCACTTGCAGATTCCACAAAAAGAGTGTTTCAAAACTGCTCTCTCAAAAGAAAAGTTCAACTCTATTAGCTGAGTAGATACATCATGAACAATTTTCTGACATTGCTTCTATCTAGCTTTTATTGGAAGATATTTCCTTTTTCACCGCAGTCCTGAGAGCGCTCCAAATGTCCACTTCCAGATACTACAAAAAGAGTGTTTCAAACCTGTTCTATGAAAGGAACTGTTCAACACTGTGACTTCAATTGAAACATCCCAATGAAGCTTCTGAGAATGCTTCTGTCTAGAGTTTATATGAAGACAATCCCGTTTCCAACGAAATCCTCAAAGCTATCCAAATATCCTCTTGCAGATATTACAAAAAGAGTGTTTCAAAACTGCTCTATCAAAAGAAAGGTTCAACACTGTTAGTTGAGGGCGCACATCACAAATAAGTTTACTGAGAATGCTGCTGTCTGCTTTTTATATGTAATCCCGTTTCCAACGAAATCCTCAAAGCTAGACAAATATCCACTTCCAGATTCCACAAAAACAGTGTTTCAAAACTGCTCTATCAAAAGAATGCTTCAGCACTGTTAGTTGAGGGCGCACATCACAAATAAGTTTCTGAGAATGCTTCTGTCTAGTTTTCAGGGGAAGATATTTCCTTTTTCACCATAGGCCTGAAAGCGCTCCAAATGTCCACATCCAGATACTACAAAAAGAGTGTTTCAAACCTGCTCTATGAAAGGGACTGTTCAACACTGTGACTTCAATTGAAACATCCCAATGAAGCTTCTGAGAATGCTTCTGTCTAGATTTTATATGAAGACAATCCCGTTTCCAACGAAATCCTCAAAGCTAACCAAATATCCTATTGCAGATTTTACAAAAAGAGTGTTTCAAAACTGCTCTATCAAAAGAAAGGTTCAACACTGTTAGTTGAGGGTGCACATCACAAATAAGATTCTGAGAATGCTTCTGTCTAGTTTTCAGGGGAAGATATTTCCTTTTTCACCATAGACCTGAAAGCGCTCCAAATGTCCACATCCAGATACTACAAAAAGAGTGTTTCAAACCTGCTCTATGAAAGGGAATGTTCAACTCTGTGACTTGAATGCAAACATCACAAAGAAGTTTCTGGGAATGCTGCTGTCTGCTTTTTATATGTAATCCCGTTTCCAACGAAATCCTCAAAGCTAGACAAATATCCACTTGCAGATTCCACAAAAAGAGTGTTTCAAAACGGCTCTCTCAAAAGAAAGGTTCAACTCTGTTAGCTGAGTAGATACATCATGAAAAAGTTTCTGACATTGCTTCTATCTAGCTTTTATTGGAAGATATTTCCTTTTTCACCATAGTCCTGAGAACGCTCCAAATGTCCACTTCCAGATATTACAAAAAGAGTGTTTCAAACCTGCTCTACGAAAGGGACTGTTCAACACTGTGACTTCAATTGAAACATCCGAACGAAGCTTCTGAGAATGCTTCTGTCTAGATTGTATATGAAGACAATCCCATTTCCAACGAAATCCTCAAAGCTATCCAAATATCCTCTTGCAGATTTTACAAAAAGAGTGTTTCAAAACTGCTCTATCAAAAGAAAGCTTCAACACTGTTAGTTGAGGGCGCACATCACAAATAAGTTTCTGAGAATGCTTCTGTCTAGTTTTCAGGGGAAGATATTTCCTTTTTCACCATAGGCCTGAAAGCGCTCCAAATGTCCACATCCAGATACTACAAAAAGAGTGTTTCAAACCTGCTCTATGAAAGGGAATGTTCAAGTCTGTGACTTGAATGCAAATATCACAAAGAAGTTTCTGGGAATGCTGCTGTCTGCTTTTTATATGTAATCCCGTTTCCAACGAAATCCTCAAATCTAGACAAGTATCCACTTCCAGATTCCACAAAATGAGTGTTTCAAAACTGCTCTCTCAAAAGAAAGGTTCAACTCTGTTAGCTGAGTAGATACATCATGAAAAAGTTTCTGACATTGCTTCTATGTAGCTTTTATTGGAAGATATTTCCTTTTTCACCGTAGTCCTGAGAGCGCTCCAAATGTCCACTTCCAGATACTACAAAAAGAGTGTTTCAAACCTGCTCTATGAAAGGGACTGTTCAACACTGTGACTTCAATTGAAACATCCCAATGAAGCTTCTGAGAATGCTTCTGTCTAGAGTTTATATGAAGACAATCCCGTTTCCAATGAAATCCTCAAAGCTATCCAAATATCCTCTTGCAGATTTTACAAAAAGAGTGTTTCAAAACTGCTCTATCAAAAGAAAGCTTCAACACTGTTATTTGAGGGCGCACATCACAAATAAGATTCTGAGAATGCTTCTCTATAGTTTTCAGGGGAAGATATTTCCTTTTTCACCATAGGCCTGAAAGCGCTCCAAACGTCCACATCCAGATACTACAAAAAGAGTGTTTCAAACCTGCTCTATGAAAGGGAATGCTCAAGTCTGTGACTTGAATGCAAATTTCACAAAGAAGTTTCTGGGAACGCTGCTGTCTGCTTTCTATATGTAATCCCGTTTCCAACGAAATCCTCAAAGCTAGACAAATATCCACTTCCAGATTCCACAAAAATAGTGTTTCAAAACTGCTCTCACAAAAGAAAGGTTCAACTCTTTTAGCTGAGTAGATACATCATGAAAAAGTTTCTGACATTGCTTCTATCTAGCTTTTATTGGAAGATATTTCCTTTTTCACCGTAGTCCTGAGAGCGCTCCAAATGTCCACTTCCAGATGCTACAAAAAGAGTGTTTCAAACCTGCTCTATAAAAGTGACTGTTCAACACTGTGACTTCAATTGAAACATCCCAATGAACCTTCTGAGAATGCTTCTGTCTAGATTCTATATGAAGACAATCCCGTTTCCAACGAAATCCTCAAAGCTATCCAAATATCCTCTTGCAGATTTTACAAAAAGAGTGTTTCAAAACTGCTCTATCAAAAGAAAGGTTCAACACTGTTAGTTGAGGGCGCACATCACAAATAAGTTTCTGAGAATGCTTCTGTATAGTTTTCAGGGGAAGATATTTCCTTTTTCACCATAGGCCTGAAAGCGCTCCAAACGTCCACATCCAGATACTACAAAAAGAGTGTTTCAAACCTGCTCTATGAAAGGGAATGTTCAAGTCTGTGACTTGAATGCAAATTTCACAAAGAAGTTTCTGGGAATGCTGCTGTCTGCTTTGTATATGTAATCCCGTTTCCAACGAAATCCTCAAAGCTAGACAAATATCCACTTGCAGATTCCACAAAAAGAGTGTTTCAAAACTGCTCTCTCAAAGGAAAGGTTCAACTCTGTTAGCTGAGTAGATACATCATGAAAAAGTTTCTGACATTGCTTCTATGTAGCTTTTATTGGAAGATATTTCCATTTTCACCGTAGTCCTGAGAGCGCTCCAAATGTCCACTTCCAGATACTACAAAAAGAGTGTTTCAAACCTGTTCTATGAAAGGAACTGTTCAACACTGTGACTTCAATTGAAACATCCCAATGAAGCTTCTGAGAATGCTTCTGTCTAGAGTTTATATGAAGACAATCCCGTTTCCAACGAAATCCTCAAAGCTATCCAAATATCCTCTTGCAGATATTACAAAAAGAGTGTTTCAAAACTGCTCTATCAAAAGAAAGCTTCAACACTGTTAGTTGAGGGCACACATCACAAATAAGTTTCTGAGAATGCTTCTGTCTAGTTTTCAGGGGAAGATATTTCCTTTTTCACCATAGGCCTGAAAGCGCTCCAAATGTCCACATCCAGATACTACAAAAAGAGTGTTTCAAACCTGCTCTATGAAAGGGAATGTTCAACTCTGTGACTTGAATGCAAACATCACAAAGAAGATTCTGGGAATGCTGCTGTCTGCTTTTTATATGTAAACCCGTTTCCAACGAAATCCTCAAAGCTAGACAAATATCCACTTGCAGATTCCACAAAAAGAGTGTTTCAAAACTTCTCTCTCAAAAGAAAGGTTCAACTCTGTTAGCTGAGTAGATACATCATGAAAAAGTTTCTGACATTGCTTTCTGTCTAGAGTTTATATGAAGACAATCCCGTTTCCAACGAAATCCTCACAGCTATCCAAATATCCTCTTGCAGATTTTACAAAAAGAGTGTTTCAAAACTGCTCTATCAAAAGAAAGCTTCAACACTGTTAGTTGAGGGCGCACATCACAAATAAGATTCTGAGAATGCTACTGTCTAGTTTTCAGAGGAAGATATTTCCTTTTTCACCATAGGCCTGAAAGCGCTCCAAATGTCCACATCCAGATACTACAAAAAGAGTGTTTCAAACACGCTCTATGGAAGGGAATGTTCAAGTCTGTGACTTGAATGCAAACATCACAAAGAAGTTACTGGGAATGCTGCTGTCTGCTTTTTATATGTAATCCCGTTTCCATCGAAATCCTCAAAGCTAGACAAATATCCACTTGCAGATTCCACAAAAAGAGTGTTTCAAAACTGCTCTATCAAAAGAAAGCTTCAACACTGTTAGTTGAGGGCGCACATCACAAATAAGTTCCTGAGAATGCTTCTGTCTAGTTTTCAGGGGAAGATATTTCCTTTTTCACCATAGGCCTGAAAGCGCTCCAAATGTCCACATCCAGATACTACAAAAAGAGTGTTTCAAACCTGCTCTATGAAAGGGACTGTTCAACACTGTGACTTCAATTGAAACATCCCAATGAAGCTTCTGAGAATGCTTCTGTCTAGAGTTTATATGAAGACAATCCCGTTTCCAACGAAATCCTCAAAGCTATCCAAATATCCTCTTGCAGATTTTACAAAAAGATTGTTTCAAAACTGCTCTATCAAAAGAAAGGTTCAACACTGTTACTTGAGGGCGCACATCACAAATAAGATTCTGAGAATGCTTCTGTCTAGTTTTCAGGGGAAGATATTTCCTTTTTCACCATAGGCCTGAAAGCGCTCCAAATGTCCACATCCAGATACTACAAAAAGAGTGTTTCAAACCTGCTCTATGAAAGGGAATGTTCAACTCTGTGACTTGAATGCAAACATCACAAAGAAGTTACTGGGAATGCTGCTGTCTGCTTTTTATATGTAATCCCGTTTCCAACGAAATCCTCAAAGCTAGACAAATATCCACTTGCAGATTCCACAAAAAGAGTGTTTCAAAACTGCTCTCTCAAAAGAAAGGTTTAACTCTGTTAGCTGAGTAGATACGTCATGAAAAAGTTTCTGACATTGCTTCTATCTAGCTTTTATTGGAAGATACTTCCTTTTTCACCGTAGTCCTGAGAGCGCTCCAAATGTCCACTTCCAGATACTACAAAAAGAGTGTTTCAAACCTGCTCTATGAAAGGGACTGTTCAACACTGTGACTTCAATTGAAACATCCCAATGAAGCTTCTGAGAATGCTACTGTCTAGAGTTTATATGAAGACAATCCCATTTCCTCCGAAATCCTCAAAGCAATCCAAATATCCTCTTGCAGATTTTACAAAAAGAGTGTTTCAAACTGCTCTGTCAAAAGAAAGCTTCAACACTGTTAGTTGAGGGTGCACATCACAAATAAGTTTCTGAGAATGCTTTTGTCTAGTTTTCAGGGGAAGATATTTCCTTTTTCACCTTAGGCCTGAAAGCGCTGCAAATGTCCACATCCAGATACTACAAAAAGAGTGTTTCAAACCTGCTCTATGAAAGGGAATGTTCAACTCTGTGACTTGAATGCAAACATCACAAAGAAGTTTCTGGGAATGCTGCTGTCTGCTTTTTATATGTAATCCCGTTTCCAACGAAATCCTCAAAGGTAGACAAATATCCACTTGCAGATTTCACAAAAAGAGTGTTTCAAAACTGCTCTCTCAAAAGAAAGGTTCAACTCTGTTAGCTGAGTAGATACATCATGAAAAAGTTTCTGACATTGCTTCTATCTAGCTTTTATTGGAAGATATTTCCTTTTTCACCGTAGTCCTGAGAACGCTCCAAATGTCCACTTCCAGATGCTACAAAAAGAGTGTTTCAAACCTGCTCTATGAAAGGGACTGTTCAACACTGTGACTTCAATTGAAACATCCCAATGAAGCTTCTGAGAATGCATCTGTCTAGAGTTTATATGAAGACAATCCCGTTTCCAACGAAATCCTCAAAGCTATCCAAATATCCTCTTGCAGATATTACAAAAAGAGTGTTTCAAAACTGCTCTATCAAAAGAAAGGTTCAACACTGTTAGTTGAGGGCGCACATCACAAATAAGTTTACTGAGAATGCTGCTGTCTGCTTTTTATATGTAATCCCGTTTCCAACGAAATCCTCAAAGCTAGACAAATATCCACTTGCAGATTCCACAAAAAGAGTGTTTCAAAACTGCTCTATCAAAAGAATGCTTCAACACTGTTAGTTGAGGGCGCACATCACAAATAAGTTTCTGAGAATGCTTCTGTCTAGTTTTCAAGGGAAGATATTTCCTTTTAAACCATAGGCCTGAAAGCGCTCCAAATGTCCACATCCAGATACTACAAAAAGAGTGTTTCAAACCTGCTCTATGAAAGGGACTGTTCAACACTGTGACTTCAATTGAAACATCCCAATGACGCTTCTGAGAATGCTTCTGTCTAGAGTTTATATGAAGACAATCCCGTTTCCAATGAAATCCTCAAAGCTATCCAAATATCCTCTTGCAGATTTTACAAAAAGAGTGTTTCAAAACTGCTCTATCAAAAGAAAGGTTCAACACTGTTAGTTGAGGGCGCACATCACAAATAAGTTTCTGAGAATGCTTCTGTCTAGTTTTCAGGGGAAGATATTTCCTTTTTCACCATAGGCCTGAAAGCGCTCCAAATGTCCACATCCAGATACTTCAAAAAGAGTGTTTCAAACCTGCTCTATGAAAGGGAATGTTCAACTCTGTGACTTGAATGCAAACATCACAAAGAAGTTACTGGGAATGCTGCTGTCTGCTTTTTATATGTAATCCCGTTTCCAACGAAATCCTCAAAGCTAGACAAATATCCACTTGCAGATTCCACAAAAAGAGTGTTTCAAAACTGCTCTCTCAAAGGAAAGGTTCAACTCTGTTAGCTGAGTAGATACATCATGAAAAAGTTTCTGACATTGCTTCTATGTAGCTTTTATTGGAAGATATTTCCTTTTTCCCCATAGTCCTGAGAGCGCTCCAAATGTCCACTTCCAGATACTACAAAAAGAGTGTTTCAAACCTGTTCTATGAAAGGAACTGTTCAACACTGTGACTTCAATTGAAACATCCCAATGAAGCTTCTGAGAATGCTGCTGTCTGCTTTGTATAATTAATCCCGTTTCCAACGAAATCCTCAAAGCTATCCAAATATCCTCTTGCAGATATTACAAAAAGAGTGTTTCAAAACTGCTCTATCAAAAGAAAGCTTCAACACTGTTAGTTGAGGGCGCACATCACAAATAAGTTTCTGAGAATGCTGCTGTCTGCTTTTTATATGTAATCCCGTTTCCAACGAAATCCTCAAAGCTAGACAAATATCCACTTGCAGATTCCACAAAAAGAGTGTTTCAAAACTGCTCTATCAAAAGAAAGCTTCAACACTGTTAGTTGAGGGCGCACATCACAAATAAGTTTCTGAGAATGCTTCTGTCTAGTTTTCAAGGGAAGATATTTCCTTTTAAACCATAGGCCTGAAAGCGCTCCAAATGTCCACATCCAGATACTACAAAAAGAGTGTTTCAAACCTGCTCTATGAAAGGGACTGTTCAACACTGTGACTTCAATTGAAACATCCCAATGACGCTTCTGAGAATGCTTCTGTCTAGAGTTTATATGAAGACAATCCCGTTTCCAACGAAATCCTCAAAGCTATCCAAATATCCTCTTGCAGATTTTACAAAAAGAGTGTTTCAAAACTGCTCTATCAAAAGAAAGCTTCAACACTGTTAGTTGAGGGCGGACATCACAAATAAGATTCTGAGAATGCTTCTGTCTAGTTTTCAGGGGAAGATATTTCCTTTTTCACCATAGGCCTGAAAGCGCTCCAAATGTCCACATCCAGATACTACAAAAAGAGTGTTTCAAACCTGCTCTATGAAAGGGAATGTTCAACTCTGTGACTTGAATGCAAACATCACAAAGAAGTTTCTGGGAATGCTGCTGTCTGCTTTTTATATGTAATCCCGTTTCCAACGAAATCCTCAAAGCTAGACAAATATCCACTTGCAGTTTCCACAAAAAGAGTGTTTCAAAACTGCTCTCTCAAAAGAAAGGTTCAACTCTGTTAGCTGAGTAGATACATCATGAAAAAGTTTCTGACATTGCTTCTATCTAGCTTTTATTGGAAGATATTTCCTTTATCACCGTATTCCTGAGATCTCTCAAAATGTCCACTTCCAGATACTACAAAAAGAGTGTTTCAAACCTGCTCTATGAAAGGGACTGTTCAACACTGTGACTTCAACTGAAACATCCCAATGAAGCTTCTGAGAATGCTTCTGTCTAGAGTTTATATGAAGACAATCCCGTTTCCACCGAAATCCTCAAAGCTATCCAAATATCCTCTTGCAGATTTTACAAAAAGAGTGTTTCAAAACTGCTCTATCAAAAGAAAGCTTCAACACTGTTAGTTGAGGGCGCACATCACAAATAAGTTTCTGAGAATGCTTCTGTCTAGTTTTCAGGGGAAGATATTTCCGTTTTCACCATAGGCCTGAAAGCGCTCCAAATGTCCACATCCAGATACTACAAAAAGAGTGTTTCAAACCTGCTCTATGAAAGGGAATGTTCAACTCTGTGACTTGAATGCAAATATCACAAAGAAGTTTCTGGGAATGCTGCTGTCTGCTTTTTATATGTAATCCCGTTTCCAACGAAATCCTCAAAGCTAGACAAATATCCACTTGCAGATTCCACAAAAAGAGTGTTTCAAAACTGCTCTCTCAAAGGAAGGTTCAACTCTGTTAGCTGAGTAGACACATCATGAAAAAGATTCTGACATTGCTTCTATGTAGCTTTTATTGGAAGATATTTCCTTTTTAACCGCAGTCCTGAGAGCGCTCCAAATGTCCACTTCCAGATACTACAAAAAGAGTGTTTCAAACCTGCTCTATGAAAGGGACTGTTCAACACTGTGACTTCAATTGAAACATCCCAATGAAGCTTCTGAGAATGCTTCTGTCTAGAGTTTATATGAAGACAATCCCGTTTCCAACGAAATCCTCAAAGCTATCCAAATATCGTCTTGCAGATTTTACAAAAAGAGTGTTTCAAAACTGCTCTATCAAAAGAAAGCTTCAACACTGTTAGTTGAGGGCGCACATCACAAATAAGATTCTGAGAATGCTGCTGTCTGCTTTTCATATGTAATCCCGTTTCCAACGAAATCCTCAAAGCTATCCAAATATCCTCTTGCAGATATTACAAAAAGAGTGTTTCAAAACTGCTCTATCAAAAGAATGGTTCAACACTGTTAGTTGAGGGCGCACATCACAAATAAGTTTCTGAGAATGCTTCTATCTACCTTTTATTGGAAGATATTTCCTTTATCACCGTAGTCCTGAGAGCGCTCCAAATGTCCACTTCCAGATACTACAAAAAGAGTGTTTCAAACCTGCTCTATGAAAGGGACTGTTCAACACTGTGACTTCAATTGAAACATCCCAATGAAGCTTCTGAGAATGCTTCTGTCTAGAGTTTATATGAAGACAATCCCGTTTCCAACGAAATCCTCAAAGCTATCCAAATATCCTCTTGCAGATATTACAAAAAGAGTGTTTCAAAACTGCTCTATCAAAAGAAAGCTTCAACACTGTTAGTTGAGGGCGCACATCACAAATAAGTTTCTGAGAATGCTTCTGTCTAGTTTTCAGGAGAAGATATTTCCTTTTTCACCGTATTCCTGAGATCTCTCCAAATGTCCACTTCCAGATACTACAAAAAGAGTGTTTCAAACCTGCTCTATGAAAGGGACTGTTCAACACTGTGACTTCAATTGAAACATCCCAATGAAGCTTCTGAGAATGCTTCTGTCTAGAGTTTATATGAAGACAATCCCGTTTCCAACGAAATCCTCAAAGCTATCCAAATATCCTCTTGCAGATTTTACAAAAAGAGTGTTTCAAAACTGCTCTATCAAAAGAAAGCTTCAACACTGTTAGTTGAGGGCGCACATCACAAATAAGATTCTGAGAATGCTTCTGTCTAGTTTTCAGGAGAAGATATTTCCTTTTTCACCATAGGCCTGAAAGCGCTCCAAATGTCCACATCCAGATACTACAAAAAGAGTGTTTCAAACCTGCTCTATGAAAGGGAATGTTCAACTCTGTGACTTGAATGCAAACATCACAAAGAAGTTACTGGGAATGCTGCTGTCTGCTTTTTATATGTAATCCCGTTTCCAACGAAATCCTCAAAGCTAGACAAATATACACTTGCAGATTCCACAAAAAGAATGTTTCAAAACTGCTCTCTCAAAAGAAAGGTTCAACTCTGTTAGGTGAGTAGATACATCATGAAAAAGTTTCTGACATTGCTTCTATCTAGCTTTTATTGGAAGATATTTCCTTTATCACCGTATTCCTGAGATCTCTCCAAATGTCCACTTCCAGATACTACAAAAAGAGTGTTTCAAACCTGCTCTATGAAAGGGACTGTTCAACACTGAGACTTCAATTGAAAAATCCCAATGAAGCTTCTGAGAATGCTTCTGTCTAGAGTTTATATGAAGACAATCCCGTTTCCAACGAAATCCTCAAAGCTATCCAAATATCCTCTTGCAGATTTTACAAAAAGAGTGTTTCAAAACTGTTCTATCAAAAGAAAGCTTCAACACTGTTAGTTGAGAGCGCATATCACAAATAAGATTCTGAGAATGCTTCTGTCTAGTTTTCAGGGGAAGATATTTCCTTTTTCACCATAGGCCTGAAAGCGCTCCAAATGTCCACATCCAGATACTACAAAAAGAGTGTTTCAAACCTGCTCTATGAAAGGGAATGTTCAACTCTGTGACTTGAATGCAAACATCACAAACAAGATTCTGGGAATGCTGCTGTCTGCTTTTTATATGTAATCCCGTTTCCAACGAAATCCTCAATGCTAGACAAATATCCACTTGCAGATTCCACAAAAAGAGTGTTTCAAAACTGCTCTCTCAAAAGAAAGGTTCAACTCTGTTAGCTGAGTAGATACATCATGAAAAAGTTTCTGACATTGCTTCTATCTAGCTTTTATTGGAAGATATTTCCTTTTTCACCGTAGTCCTAAGAGCGCTCCAAATGTCCACTTCCAGATACTACAAAAAGAGTGTTTCAAACCTGCTCTATGAAAGGGACTGTTCAACACTGTGACTTCAATTGAAACATCCCAATGAAGCTTCTGAGAATGCTTCTGTCTAGATTCTATATGAAGACAATCCCGTTTCCAACGAAATCCTCAAAGCTATCCAAATATCCTCTTGCAGATTTTACAAAAAGAGTGTTTCAAAACTGCTCTATCAAAAGAAAAGTTCCACACTGTTAGTTGAGGGCGCACATCACAAATAAGTTTGCTGAGAATGCTGCTGTCTGCTTTTTATATGTAATCCCGTTTCCAACGAAATCCTCAAAGCTAGACAAATATCCACTTGCAGATTCCACAAAAAGAGTGTTTCAAAACTGCTCTATCAAAAGAATGCTTCAACACTGTTAGTTGAGGGCGCACATCACAAATAAGTTTCTGAGAATGCTTCTGTCTAGTTTTCAGGGGAAGATATTTCCTTTTTCACCTTATGCCTGAAAGCGCTCCAAATGTCCACATCCAGATTCTACAAAAAGAGTGTTTCAAACCTGCTCTATGAAAGGGACTGTTCAACACTGTGACTTCAATTGAAACATCCCAATGAAGCTTCTGAGAATGCTACTGTCTAGAGTTTATATGAAGACAATCCCGTTTCCAACGAAATCCTCAAAGCTATCCAAATATCCTCTTGCAGATTTTACAAAAAGAGTGTTTCAAAACTGCTCTATCAAAAGAAAGCTTCAACACTGTTAGTTGAGGGTGCACATCACAAATAAGTTTCTGAGAATGCTTCTGTCTAGTTTCCAGGGGAAGATATTTCCTTTTTCACCATAGGCCTGAAAGCGCTCCAAATGTCCACATCCAGATACTTCAAAAAGAGTGTTTCAAACCTGCTCTATGAAAGGGAATGTTCAACTCTGTGACTTGAATGCAAACATCCCAAAGAAGTTACTGGGAATGCTGCTGTCTGCTTTTTATATGTAATCCCGTTTCCAACGAAATCCTCAAAGCTAGACAAATATCCACTTGCAGATTCCACAAAAAGAGTGTTTCAAAACTGCTCTCTCAAAGGAAAGGTTCAACTCTGTTAGCTGAGTAGATACATCATGAAAAAGTTTCTGACATTGCTTCTATGTAGCTTTTATTGGAAGATATTTCCTTTTTCACCATAGTCCTGGGAGCGCTCCAAATGTCCACTTCCAGATACTACAAAAAGAGTGTTTCAAACCTGTTCTATGAAAGGAACTGTTCAACACTGTGACTTCAATTGAAACATCCCAATGAAGCTTCTGAGAATGCTTCTGTCTAGAGTTTATATGAAGACAATCCCGTTTCCAACGAAATCCTCAAAGCTATCCAAATATCCTCTTGCAGATATTACAAAAAGAGTGTTTCAAAACTGCTCTATCAAAAGAAAGGTTCAACACTGTTAGTTGAGGGCGCACATCACAAATAAGTTTACTGAGAATGCTGCTGTCTGCTTTTTATATGTAATCCCGTTTCCAACGAAATCCTCAAAGCTAGACAAATATCCACTTGCAGATTCCACCAAAAGAGTGTTTCAAAACTGCTCTATCAAAAGAAAGCTTCAACACTGTTAGTTGATGGCGCACATCACAAATAAGATTCTGAGAATGCTTCTGTCTAGTTTTCAGGGGAAGATATTTCCTTTTAAACCATAGGCCTGAAAGCGTTCCAAATGTCCACATCCAGATACTACAAAAAGAGTGTTTCAAACCTGCTCTATGAAAGGGACTGTTCAACACTGTGACTTCAATTGAAACATCCCAATGACGCTTCTGAGAATGCTACTTTCAAGAGTTTATATGAAGACAATCCCGTTTCCAACGAAATCCTCAAAGCTATCCAAATATCCTCTTGCAGATTTTACAAAAAGAGTGTTTCAAAACTACTCTATCAAAAGAAAGGTTCAACATTGTTAGTTGAGGGCGCACATCACAAATAAGTTTCTGAGAATGCTTCTGTCTACTTTTCAGGGGAAGATATTTCCTTTTTCACGATAGGCCTGAAAGAGCTCCAAATGTCCACATCCAGATACTACAAAAAGAGTGTTTCAAACCTGCTCTATGAAAGGGAATGTTCAACTGTGTGACTTGAATGCAAACATCACAAAGAAGTTTCTGGGAATGCTGCTGTCTGCTTTTTATATGTAATCCCGTTTCCAACGAAATCCTCAAAGCTAGACAAATATCCACTTGCAGATTCCACAAAAAGAGTGTTTCAAAACTGCTCTCTCAAAAGAAAGGTTCAACTCTGTTTGCTGAGTAGATACATCATGAAAAAGTTTCTGACATTGCTTCTATCTAGCTTTTATTGGAAGATATTTCCTTTTTCATGGTATTCCTGAGAACTCTCCAAATGTCCACTTCCACATACTACAAAAAGAGTGTTTCAAACCTGCTCTATGAAAGGGACTGTTCAACACTGTGACTTCTGTTGAAACATCCCAATGAAGCTTCTGAGAATGCTTCTGTCTAGAGTTTATATGAAGACAATCCCGTTTCCAACGAAATCCTCAAAGCTATCCAAATATCCTCTTGCAGATTTTACAAAAAGAGTGTTTCAAAACTGCTCTATCAAAAGAAAGCTTCAACACTGTTAGTTGAGGGCGCACATCACAAATAAGATTCTGAGAATGCTTCTGTCTAGTTTTCAGGGGAAGATATTTCCTTTTTCACCATAGGCCTGAAAGCGCTCCAAATGTCCACATCCAGATACTACAAAAAGAGTGTTTCAAACCTGCTCTATGAAAGTGAATGTTCAACTCTGTGACTTGAATACAAACATCACAAAGAAGTTTCTGGGAATGCTGCTGTCTGCTTTTTATATGTAATCCCGTTTCCAACGAAATCCTCAAATCTAGACAAATTTCCACTTGCAGATTCCACAAAAAGAGTGTTTCAAAACTGCTCTCTCAAAAGAAAGGTTCAACTCTGTTAGCTGAGTAGATACATCATGAAAATGTTTCTGACATTGCTTCTATCTAGCTTTTATTGGAAGATATTTCCTTTTTCACCGTAGTCCTGAGAGCGCTCCAAATGTCCACTTCCAGATACTACAAAATGAGTTTTTCAAACCTGCTCTATGAAAGGGACTGTTCAACACTGTGACTTCAATTGAAACATCCCAATGAAGCTTCTGAGAATGCTTATGTCTAGAGTTTATATGAAGACAATCCCGTTTCCAACGAAATCCTGAAAGCTATCCAAATATCCTCTTGCAGATATTACAAAAAGAGTGTTTCAAAACTGCTCTATCAAAAGAAAGCTTCAACACTGTTAGTTGAGGGCGCCCATCACAAATAAGTTTCGGAGAATGCTTAGCTGTCTGCTTTTTATAATTAATCCCGTTTCCAACGAAATCCTCAAAGCTATCCAAATATCCTCTTGCAGATATTACAAAAAGAGTGTTTCAAAACTGCTCTATCAAAAGAAAGCTTCAACACTGTTAGTTGAGGGCGCACATCACAAATAAGTTTCTGAGAATGCTTCTGTCTAGTTTTCAGGGGAAGATATTTCCTTTTTCACCATAGGCCTGAAAGCGCTCCAAATGTCCACATCCAGATACTACAAAAAGAGTGTTTCAAACCTGCTCTATGAAAGGGAATGTTCAACTCTGTGAGTTGAATGCAAACATCACAAAGAAGTTTCTGGGAATGCTGCTGTCTGCTTTTCATATGTAATCCCGTTTCCAACGAAATCCTCAAAGCTAGACAAATATCCACTTGCAGATTCCACAAAAAGAGTGTTTCAAAACTGCTCTATCAAAAGAATGCTTCAACACTGTTAGTTGAGGGCGCACATCACAAATAAGTTTCTGAGAATGCTTCTGTCTAGTTTTCAGGGGAAGATATTTCCTTTTAAACCATAGGCCTGAAAGCGCTCCAAATGTCCACATCCAGATACTACAAAAAGAGTGTTTCAAACCTGCTGTATGAAAGGGACTGTTCAACACTGTGACTTCAATTGAAACATCCCAATGACGCTTCTGAGAATGCTTCTGTCTAGATTCTATATGAAGACAATCCCGTTTCCAACGAAATCCTCAAAGCTATCCAAATATCCTCTTGCAGATTTTACAAAAAGAGTGTTTCAAAACTGCTCTATCAAAAGAAAGGTTCAACACTGTTAGTTGAGGGCGCACATCACAAATAAGTTTCTGAGAATGCTTATGTATAGTTTTCAGGGGAAGATATTTCCTTTTTCACCATAGGCCTGAAAGCGCTCCAAACGTCCACATCCAGATACTACAAAAAGAGTGTTTCAAACCTGCTCTATGAAAGGGAATGTTCAACTCTGTGACTTGAATGCAAACATCACAAAGAAGTTTCTGGGAATGCTGCTGTCTGCTTTTTATATGTAATCCCGTTTCGAACGAAATCCTCAAAGCTAGACAAATATCCACTTGCAGATTCCACAAAAATAGTGTTTCAAAACTGCTCTCACAAAAGAAAGGTTCAACTCTTTTAGCTGAGTAGATACATCATGAAAAAGTTTCTGACATTGCTTCTATCTAGCTTTTATTGGAAGATATTTCCTTTTTCACCGTATTCCTGAGAACTCTCCAAATGTCCACTTCCAGATACTACAAAAAGAGTGTTTCAAACCTGCTCTATGAAAGGGACTGTTCAACACTGTGACTTCAATTGAAACATCCCAATGAAGCTTCTGAGAATGCTTCTGTCTAGAGTTTATATGAAGACAATCCCGTTTCCAACGAAATCCTCAAAGCTATCCAAATATCCTCTTGCAGATATTACAAAAAGAGTGTTTCAAAACTGCTCTATCAAAAGAAAGGTTCAACACTGTTAGTTGAGGGCGCACATCACAAATAAGTTTACTGAGAATGCTGCTGTCTGCTTTTTATATGTAATCCCGTTTCCAACGAAATCCTCAAAGCTAGACAAATATCCACTTGCAGATTCCACAAAAAGAGTGTTTCAAAACTGCTCTATCAAAAGAAAGCTTCAACACTGTTAGTTGAGGGCGCACATCACAAATAAGTTTCTGAGAATGCTTCTGTCTAGTTTTCAGGGGAAGATATTTCCTTTTAAACCATAGGCCTGAAAGCGCTCCAAATGTCCACATCCAGATACTACAAAAAGAGTGTTTCAAACCTGCTCTATGAAAGGGACTGTTCAACAGTGTGACTTCAATTGAAACATCCCAATGACGCTTCTGAGAATGCTTCTGTCTAGATTTTATATGAAGACAATCCCGTTTCCAACGAAATCCTCAAAGCTATCCAAATATCCTCTTGCAGATTTTACAAAAAGAGTGTTTCAAAACTACTCTATCAAAAGAAAGGTTTAACACTGTTAGTTGAGGGCGCACATCACAAATAAGTTTCTGAGAATGCTTCTGTCTAGTTTTCTTGGGAAGATATTTCCTTTTTCACCATAGGCCTGAAAGCGCTCCAAATGTCCACATCCAGATACTACAAAAAGAGTGTTTCAAACCTGCTCTATGAAAGGGAATGTTCAACTCTGTGACTTGAATGCAAACATCACAAAGAAGTTACTGGGAATGCTGCTGTCTGCTTTTTATATGTAATCCCGTTTCCAACGAAATCCTCAAAGCTAGACAAATATCCACTTGCAGATTCCACAAAAAGAGTGTTTCAAAACTGCTCTCTCAAAGGAAGGTTCAACTCTGTTAGCTGAGTAGATACATCATGAAAAAGTTTCTGACATTGCTTCTATCTAGCTTTCTTTGGAAGATATTTCCTTTTTCACTGTAGTCCTGAAAACGCTCCAAATGTCAACTTCCAGATACTACAAAAAGAGTGTTTCAAACATGCTCTATGAAAGGGACTGTTCAACACTGTGACTTCAATTGAAACATCCCAATGAAGCTTCTGAGAATGCTACTGTCTAGAGTTTATATGAAGACAATCCCATTTCCACCGAAATCCTCAAAGCTATCCAAATATCCTCTTGCAGATTTTACAAAAAGAGTGTTCCAAACTGCTCTATCAAAAGAAAGCTTCAACACTGTTAGTTGAGGGTGCGCATCACAAATAAGTTTCTGAGAATGCTGCTGTCTGCTTTTTATAATTAATCCCGTTTCCAACGAAATCCTCAAAGCTATCCAAATATCCTCTTGCAGATATTACAAAAAGAGTGTTTCAAAACTGCTCTATCAAAAGAAAGGTTCAACACTGTTAGTTGAGGGCGCACATCACAAATAAGTTTCTGAGAATGCTTCTGTCTAGTTTTCAGGGGAAGATATTTCCTTTTAAACCATAGGCCTGGAAGCGCTCCAAATGTCCACATCCAGATACTACAAAAAGAGTGTTTCAAACCTGCTCTATGAAAGGGACTGTTCAACACTGTGACTTCAATTGAAACATCCCAATGAAGCTTCTGAGAATGCTTCTGTCTAGAGTTTATATGAAGACAATCCCGTTTCCAACGAAATCCTCAAAGCTATCCAAATATCCTCTTGCAGATTTTACAAAAAGAGTGTTTCAAAACTGCTCTATCAAAAGAAAGCTTCAACACTGTTAGTTGAGGGCGCACATCACAAATAAGATTCTGAGAATGCTTCTGTCTAGTTTTCTTGGGAAGATATTTCCTTTTTCACCATAGGCCTGAAAGCGCTCCTAATGTCCACATCCAGATACTACAAAAAGAGTGTTTCAAACCTGCTCTATGAAAGGGAATGTTCAACTCTGTGACTTGAATGCAAACATCACAAAGAAGTTACTGGGAATGCTGCTGTCTGCTTTTTCTATGTAATCCCTTTTCCAACGAAATCCTCAAATCTAGACAAATATCCACTTGCAGATTCCACAAAAAGAGTGTTTCAAAACTGTTCTCTCAAAAGAAAGGTTCAACTCTGTTAGCTGAGTAGATACATCATGAAAAAGTTTCTGACATTGCTTCTATCTAGCTTTTATTGGAAGATATTTCCTTTATCACCGTATTCCTGAGATCTCTCCAAATGTCCACTTCCAGATACTACAAAAAGAGTGTTTCAAACCTGCTCTATGAAAGGGACTGTTCAACATTGTGACTTCAATTGAAACATCCCAATGAAGCTTCTGAGAATGCTGCTGTCTGCTTTGTATAATTAATCCCGTTTCCAACGAAATCCTCAAAGCTATCCAAATATCCTCTTGCAGATATTACAAAAAGAGTGTTTCAAAACTGCTCTATCAAAAGAAAGCTTCAACACTGTTAGTTGAGGGCGCACATCACAAATAAGTTTCTGAGAATGCTGCTGTCTGCTTTTTATATGTAATCCCGTTTCCAACGAAATCCTGAAAGCTATCCAAATATCCTCTTGCAGATATTACAAAAAGAGTGTTTCAAAACTGCTCTATCAAAAGAAAGGTTCAACACTGTTAGTTGAGGGCGCACATCACAAGTAAGTTTCTGAGAATGCTTCTGTCTAGTTTTCAGGGGAAGATATTTCCTTTTTCACCATAGGCCTGAAAGCGCTCCAAATGTCCACATCCAGATACTACAAAAAGAGTGTTTCAAACCTGCTCTATGAAAGGGACTGTTCAACACTGTGACTTCAATTGAAACATCCCAATGAAGCTTCTGAGAATGCTACTCTCTAGAGTTTATATGAAGACAATCCCATTTCCACCGAAATCCTCAAAGCTATCCAAATATCCTCTTGCAGATTTTACAAAAAGAGTGTTTCAAAACTGCTCTATCAAAAGAAAAGTTCAACACTGTTAGTTGAGGGCGCACATCACAAATAAGTTTCTGAGAATGCTTCTGTCTAGTTTTCAGGGGAAGATATTTCCTTTTTCACCATAGGCCTGAGAGCGCTCCAAATGTCCACATCCAGATACTACAAAAAGAGTGTTTCAAACCTGCTCTATGAAAGGGAATGTTCAACTCTGTGACTTGAATGCAAACATCACAAAGAAGTTTCTGGGAATGCTGCTGTCTGCTTTTTATATGTAATCCCGTTTCCAAAGAAATCCTCAAAGCTAGACAAATATCCACTTGCAGACTCCACAAAAAGAGTGTTTCAAAACTGCTCTCTCAAAAGAAAGGTTCAACTCTTTTAGCTGAGTAGATACATCATGAAAAAGTTTCTCACATTGCTTCTATCTAGCTTTTATTGGAAGATATTTCCTTTTTCATCGTAGTCCTGAGAGCGCTCCAAATGTCCACTTCCAGATGCTACAAAAAGAGTGTTTCAAACCTGCTCTATGAAAGGGACTGTTCAACACTGTGACTTCAATTGAAACATCCCAATGAAGCTTCTCAGAATGCTTCTGTCTATTTTTCAGGAGAAGATATTTCCTTTTTCACCATAGGCCTGAAAGCGCTCCAAATGTCCACATCCAGATACTATAAAAAGAGTGTTTCAAACCTGCTCTATGAAAGGGAATGTTCAACTCTGTGACTTGAATGCAAACATCACAAAGAAGATTCTGGGAATGCTGCTGTCTGCTTTTTATATGTAATCCCGTTTCCAACGAAATCCTCAAAGCTAGACAAATATCCACTTGCAGATTCCACAAAAAGAGTGTTTCAAAACTGCTCTATCAAAAGAAAGCTTCAACACTGTTAGTTGAGGGCGCACATCACAAATAAGTTTCTGAGAATGCTTCTGTCTAGTTTTCAGGGGAAGATATTTCCTTTTTCACCTTAGGCCTGAAAGCGCTGCAAATGTCCACATCCAGATACTACAAAAAGAGTGTTTCAAACCTGCTCTATGAAAGGGAATGTTCAACTCTGTGACTTGAATGCAAACATCACAAAGAAGTTTCTGGGAATGCTGCTGTCTGCTTTTTATATGTAATCCCGTTTCCAACGAAATCCTCAAAGCTAGACAAATATCCACTTTCAGATTACACAAAAAGAGTGTTTCAAAACTGCTCTCTCAAAAGAAAGGTTCAACTCTGTTAGCTGAGTAGATACATCATGAAAAAGTTTCTGACATTGCTTCTATCTAGCTTTTATTGGAAGATATTTCCTTTATCACCGTATTCCTGAGATCTCTCCAAATGTCCACTTCCAGATACTACAAAAACAGTGTTTCAAACCTGCTCTATGAAAGGGACTGTTCAACACTGTGACTTCAATTGAAACATCCCAATGAAGCTTCTGAGAATGCTTCTGTCTAGATTCTATATGAAGACAATCCCGTTTCCAACGAAATCCTCAAAGCTATCCAAATATCCTCTTGCAGATTTTACAAAAAGAGTGTTTCAAAACTGCTCTATCAAAAGAAAAGTTCCACACTGTTAGTTGAGGGCGCACATCACAAATAAGTTTGCTGAGAATGCTGCTGTCTGCTTTTTATATGTAATCCCGTTTCCAACGAAATCCTCAAAGCTAGACAAATATCCACTTGCAGATTCCACAAAAAGAGTGTTTCAAAACTGCTCTATCAAAAGAAAGCTTCAACACTGTTAGTTGAGGGCGCACATCACAAATAAGTTTCTGAGAATGCTTCTATGTAGCTTTTATTGGAAGATATTTCCTTTTTCACCGTAGTCCTGAGAGCGCTCCAAATGTCCACTTCCAGATACTACAAAAAGAGTGTTTCAAACCTGTTCTATGAAAGTGACTGTTCAACACTGTGACTTCAATTGAAACATCCCAATGAAGCTTCTGAGAATGCTTCTGTCTAGAGTTTATATGAAGACAATCCCGTTTCCAACGAAATCCTCAAAGCTATCCAAATATCCTCTTGCAGATTTTACAAAAAGAGTGTTTCAAAACTGCTCTATCAAAAGAAAGCTTCAACACTGTTAGTTGAGGGCGCACATCACAAATAAGATTGCTGAGAATGCTTCTGTATAGTTTTCAGGGGAAGATATTTCCTTTTTCACCATAGGCCTGAAAGCGCTCCAAACGTCCACATCCAGATACTACAAAAAGAGTGTTTCAAACCTGCTCTATGAAAGGGAATGTTCAAGTCTGTGACTTTAATGCAAATTTCACAAAGAAGTTTCTGGGAATGCTGCTGTCTGCTTTTTATATGTAATCCCGTTTCCAACGAAATCCTCAAAGCTAGACAAATATCCACTTGCAGATTCCACAAAAATAGTGTTTCAAAACTGCTCTCACAAAAGAAAGGTTCAACTCTTTTAGCTGAGTAGATACATCATGAAAAAGTTTCTGACATTGCTTCTATCTAGCTTTTATTGGAAGATATTTCCTTTATCACCGTATTCCTGAGATCTCTCCAAATGTCCATTTCCAGATACTACAAAAAGAGTGTTTCAAACCTGCTCTATGAAAGGGACTGTTCAACACTGTGACTTCAATTGAAACATCCCAATGAAGCTTCTGAGAATGCTTCTGTCTAGAGTTTATATGAAGACAATCCCGTTTCCAACGAAATCCTCAAAGCTATCCAAATATCCTCTTGCACATTTTACAAAAAGAGTGTTTCAAAACTGCTCTATCAAAAGAAAGCTTCAACACTGTTAGTTGAGGGCGCACATCACAAATAAGATTCTGAGAATGCTTCTGTCTAGTTTTCAGGGGAAGATATTTCCTTTTTCTCCTTAGGCCTGAAAGCGCTGTAAATGTCCACATCCAGATTCTACAAAAAGAGTGTTTCAAACCTGCTCTATGAAAGGGAATGTTCAACTCTGTGACTTGAATGCAAACATCACAAAGAAGTTTCTGGGAATGCTGCTGTCTGCTTTTTATATGTAATCCCGTTTCCAACGAAATCCTCAAAGCTAGACAAATATCCACTTGCAGATTCCACAAAAAGAGTGTTTCAAAACTGCTCTCTCAAAGGAAGGTTCAACTCTGTTAGCTGAGTAGATACATCATGAAAAAGTTTCTGACATTGCTTCTATCTAGCTTTTATTGGAAGATATTTCCTTTTTCACCGTAGTCCTAAGAGCGCTCCAAATGTCCACTTCCAGATACTACAAAAAGAGTGTTTCAAACCTGCTCTATGAAAGGGACTGTTCAACACTGTGACTTCAATTGAAACATCCCAATGAAGCTTCTCAGAATGCTTCTGTCTAGAGTTTATATGAAGACAATCCCGTTTCCAACGAAATCCTCAAAGCTATCCAAATATCCTCTTGCAGATATTACAAAAAGAGTGTTTCAAAACTGCTCTATCAAAAGAAAGGTTCAACACTGTTAGTTGAGGGCGCACATCACAAATAAGTTTACTGAGAATGCTGCTGTCTGCTTTTTATATGTAATCCCGTTTCCAACGAAATCCTCAAAGCTATCCAAATATCCTCTTGCAGATATTACAAAAAGAGTGTTTCAAAACTGCTCTATCAAAAGAAAGGTTCAACACTGTTAGTTGAGGGCGCACATCACAAATAAGTTTCTGAGAATGCTTCTGTCTAGTTTTCAGGGGAAGATATTTCCTTTTTCACCTTATGCCTGAAAGCGCTGCAAATGTCCACATCCAGATACTACAAAAAGAGTGTTTCAAACCTGCTCTATCAAAGGGACTGTTCAACACTGTGACTTCAATTGAAACATCCCAATGAAGCTTCTGAGAATGCTTCTGTCTAGAGTTTATATGAAGACAATCCCGTTTCCAACGAAATCCTCAAAGCTATCCAAATATCCTCTTGCAGATATTACAAAAAGAGTGTTTCAAAACTGCTCTATCAAAAGAAAGCTTCAACACTGTTAGTTGAGGGCGCACATCACAAATAAGTTTCTGAGAATGCTTCTGTCTAGTTTTCAGGGGAAGATATTTCCTTTTTCACCATAGGCCTGAAAGCGCTGCAAATGTCCACAACCAGATACTACAAAAAGAGTGTTTCAAACCTGCTCTATGAAAGGGAATGTTCAACTCTGTGACTTGAATGCAAACATCACAAAGAAGTTTCTGGGAACGCTGCTGTCTGCTTTTTATATGTAATCCCGTTTCCAACGAAATCCTCAAAGCTAGACAAATATCCACTTGCAGATTCCACAAAAAGAGTGTTTCAAAACTGCTCTCTCAAAAGAAAGGTTCAACTCTGTTAGCCGAGTAGATACATCATGAAAAAGTTTCTGACATTGCTTCTATCTAGCTTTTATTGGAAGATATTTCCTTTATCACCGTAGTCCTGAGAGCGCTCCAAATGTCCACTTCCAGATACTACAAAAAGAGTGTTTCAAACCTGCTCTATGAAAGGGACTGTTCAACACTGTGACTTCAATTGAAACATCCCAATGAAGCTTCTGAGAATGCTGCTGTCTGCTTTGTATAATTAATCCCGTTTCCAACGAAATCCTCAAAGCTATCCAAATATCCTCTTGCAGATATTACAAAAAGAGTGTTTCAAAACTGCTCTATCAAAAGAAAGCTTCAACACTGTTAGTTGAGGGCGCACATCACAAATAAGTTTCTGAGAATGCTGCTGTCTGCTTTTTATATGTAATCCCGTTTCCAACGAAATCCTCAAAGCTAGACAAATATCCACTTGCAGATTCCACAAAAAGAGTGTTTCAAAACTGCTCTATCAAAAGAATGCTTCAACACTGTTAGTTGAGGGCGCACATCACAAATAAGTTTCTGAGAATGCTTCTGTCTAGTTTTCAGGGGAAGATATTTCCTTTTTCACCATAGGCATGAAAGCGCTCCAAATGTCCACATCCAGATACTACAAAAAGAGTGTTTCAAACCTGCTCTAAGAAAGGGACTGTTCAATACTGTGACTTCAATTGAAACATCCCAATGAAGCATCTGAGAATGCTTCTGTCTAGAGTTTATATGAAGACAATCCCGTTTCCAACGAAATCCTCAAAGCTATCCAAATATCCTCTTGCAGATTTTACGAAAAGAGTGTTTCAAAACTGCTCTATCAAAAGAAAGCTTCAACACTGTTAGTTGAGGGCGCACATCACAAATAAGATTCCTGAGAATGCTTCTGTCTAGTTTTCAGGGGAAGATATTTCCTTTTTCACCATAGGCCTGAAAGTGCTCCAAATGTCCACATCCAGATACTACAAAAAGAGTGTTTCAAACCTGCTCTATGAAAGGGAATGTTCATCTCTGTGACTTGAATGCAAACATCACAAAGTAGTTTCTGGGAATGCTGCTGTCTGCTTTTTATATGTAATCCCGTTTCCAACGAAATCCTCAAAGCTAGACAAATATCCACTTGCAGATTCCACAAAAAGAGTGTTTCAAAACGGCTCTCTCACAAGAAAGGTTCAACTCTGTTAGCTGAGTAGACACATCATGAAAAATTTTCTGACATTGCTTCTATCTAGCTTTTATTGGAAGATATTTCCTTTTTCACCGCAGTCCTGAGAGCGCTCCAAATGTCCACTTCCAGATACTACAAAAAGAGTGTTTCAAACCTGCTCTATGAAAGGGACTGTTCAACACTGTGACTTCAATTGAAACATCCCAATGAAGCTTCCTGAGAATGCTTCTGTCTAGATTCTATATGAAGACAATCCCGTTTCCAACGAAATCCTCAAAGCTATCCAAATATCCTCTTGCAGATTTTACAAAAAGAGTGTTTCAAAACTGCTCTATCAAAAGAAAAGTTCCACACTGTTAGTTGAGGGCGCACATCACAAATAAGTTTGCTGAGAATGCTGCTGTCTGCTTTTTATATGTAATCCCGTTTCCAACGAAATCCTCAAAGCTAGACAAATATCCACTTGCAGATTCCACAAAAAGAGTGTTTCAAAACTGCTCTATCAAAAGAAAGCTTCAACACTGTTAGTTGAGGGCGCACATCACAAATAAGTTTCTGAGAATGCTTTTGTCTAGTTTTCAGGGGAAGATATTTCCTTTTTCACCTTATGCCTGAAAGCGCTGCAAATGTCCACATCCAGATACTACAAAAAGAGTGTTTCAAACCTGCTCTATCAAAGGGACTGTTCAACACTGTGACTTCAATTGAAACATCCCAATGAAGCTTCTGAGAATGCTTCTGTCTAGAGTTTATATGAAAACAATCCCGTTTCCAACGAAATCCTCAAAGCTATCCAACTATCCTCTTGCAGATATTACAAAAAGAGTGTTTCAAAACTGCTCTATCAAAAGAAAGGTTCAACACTGTTAGTTGAGGGCGCACATCACAAATAAGTTTCTGAGAATGCTTCTGTCTAGTTTTCAGGAGAAGATATTTCCTTTTTCACCATAGGCCTGAAAGCGCTCCAAATGTCCACATACAGATACTAGAAAAAGAGTGTTTCAAACCTGCTCTATGAAAGGGAATGTTCAACTCTGTGACTTGAATGCAAACATCACAAAGAAGATTCTGGGAATGCTGCTGTCTGCTTTTTATATGTAATCCCGTTTCCAACGAAATCCTCAAAGCTAGACAAATATCCACTTGCAGATTCCACAAAAAGAGTGTTTCAAAACTGCTCTCTCAAAAGAAAGGTTCAACTCTGTTTGCTGAGTAGATACATCATGAAAAAGTTTCTGACATTGCTTCTATCTAGCTTTTATTGGAAGATACTTCCTTTTTCACCGTAGTCCTGAGAGCGCTCCAAATGTCCACTTCCAGATACTACAAAAAGAGTGTTTCAAACCTGCTCTATGAAAGGGACTGTTCAACACTGTGACTTCAATTGAAACATCCCAATGAAGCTTCTGAGAATGCTTCTGTCTAGAGTTTATATGAACACAATCCCGTTTCCAACGAAATCCTCAAAGCTATCCAAATATCCTCTTGCAGATATTACAAAAAGAGTGTTTCAAAACTGCTCTATCAAAAGAAAGGTTCAACACCGTTAGTTGAGGGCGCACATCACAAATAAGTTTCTGAGAATGCTTCTGTCTAGTTTTCAGGAGAAGATATTTCCTTTTTCACCATAGGCCTGAAAGCGCTCCAAATGTCCACATCCAGATACTATAAAAAGAGTGTTTCAAACCTGCTCTCTGAAAGGGAATGTTCAACTCTGTGACTTGAATGCAAACATCACAAACAAGATTCTGGGAATGCTGCTGTCTGCTTTTTATATGTAATCCCGTTTCCAACGAAATCCTCAAAGCTAGACAAATATCCACTTGCAGATTCCACAAAAAGAGTGTTTCAAAACTGCTCTGTCAAAAGAAAGCTTCAACACTGTTGGTTGAGGGCGCACATCACAAATAAGTTTCTGAGAATGCTTCTGTCTAGTTTTCAGGGGAAGATATTTCCTTTTAAACCACAGGCCTGAAAGCGCTCCAAATGTCCACATCCAGATACTACAAAAAGAGTGTTTGAAACCTGCTTTATGAAAGGGACTGTTCAACACTGTGACTTCAATTGAAACATCCCAATGAAGCTTCTGAGAATGCTTCTGTCTAGAGTTTATATGAAGACAATCCCGTTTCCAACGAAATCCTCAAAGCTATCCAAATATCCTCTTGCAGATATTACAAAAAGAGTGTTTCAAAACTGCTCTATCAAAAGAAAGTTTAAACACTGTTAGTTGAGGGCGCACATCACAAATAGGTTTCTGAGAATGCTTCTGTCTAGTTTTCAGGGGAAGATATTTCCTTTTTTACCGTAGGCCTGAAAGCGCTCCAAATGTCCACATCCAGATACTACAAAAAGAGTGTTTCAAACCTGCTCTATGAAAGGGAATGTTCAACTCTGTGACTTGAATGAAAACATCACAAAGAAGTTACTGGGAATGCTGCTGTCTGCTTTTTATATGTAATCCCGTTTCCAACGAAATCCTCAAAGCTAGAAAACATCCACTTGCAGATTCCACAAAAAGAGTGTTTCAAAACTGCTCTCTCAAAGGAAAGGTTCAACTCTGTTAGCTGAGTAGATACATCATGAAAAAGTTTCTGACATTGCTTCTATCTAGCTTTTATTGGAAGATATTTCCTTTATCACCGTATTCCTGAGAGCGCTCCAAATGTCCACTTCCAGATACTACAAAAACAGTGTTTCAAACCTGCTCTATGAAAGGGACTGTTCAACACTGTGACTTCAATTGAAACATCCCAATGAAGCTTCTGAGAATGCTTCTTTCTAGAGTTTATATGAAGACAATCCCGTTTCCAACGAAATCCTCAAAGCTATCCAAATATTCTCTTGCAGATATTACAAAAAGAGTGTTTCAAAACTGCTCTATCAAAATAAAGCTTCAACACTGTTAGTTGAGGGCGCACATCACAAATAAGTTTCTGAGAATGCTGCTGTCTGCTTTTTATATGTAATCCCGTTTCCAACGAAATCCTCAAAGCTAGACAAATATCCACTTGCAGATTCCACAAAAAGAGTGTTTCAAAACTGCTCTATCAAAAGAATGCTTCAACACTGTTAGTTGAAGGCGCACATCACAAATAAGTTTCTGAGAATGCTTCTGTCTAGTTTTCAGGGGAAGATATTTCCTTTTAAACCATAGGCCTGAAAGCGCTCCAAATGTCCACATCCAGATACTACAAAAAGAGTGTTTCAAACCTGCTCTATGAAAGGGACTGTTCAACACTGTGACTTCAATTGAAACATCCCAATGACGCTTCTGAGAATGCTTCTGTGTAGAGTTTATATGAAGACAATCCCGTTTCCAACGAAATCCTCAAAGCTATCCAAATATCCTCTTGCAGATTTTACAAAAAGAGTGTTTCAAAACTGCTCTATCAAAAGAAAGCTTCAACACTGTTAGTTGAGGGCGCACATCACAAATAAGATTCTGAGAATTCTTCTGTCTAGTTTTCAGGGGAAGATATTTCCTTTTTCACAATAGGCCTGAAAGCGCTCCAAATGTCCACATCCAGATACTACAAAAAGAGTGTTTCAAACCTGCTCTATGAAAGGGAATGTTCAACTCTGTGACTTGAATGCAAACATCACAAAGAAGTTACTGGGAATGCTGCTGTCTGCTTTTTATATGTAATCCCGTTTCCAACGAAATCCTCAAAACTAGACAAATATCCACTTCCAGATTCCACAAAAAGAGTGTTTCAAAACTGCTCTCTCAAAAGAAAGGTTCAACTCTGTTAGCTGAGTAGATACATCATGAAAAAGTTTCTGACATTGCTTTTATGTAGCTTTTATTGGAAGATATTTCCTTTTTCACCATAGGCCTGAAATCGCTCCAAATGTCCACATCCAGATACTACAAAAAAAGTGTTTCAAACCTGCTCTATGAAAGGGAATGTTCAACTCTGTGACTTGAATGCAAACATCACAAAGAAGTTACTGGGAATGCTTCTGTCTAGAGTTTATATGAAGACAATCCCGTTTCCAACGAAATCCTCAAAGCTATCCAAATATCCTCTTGCAGATATTACAAAAAGAGTGTTTCAAAACTGCTCTATCAAAAGAAAGGTTCAACACTGTTAGTTGAGGGCGCACATCACAAATAAGTTTACTGAGAATGCTGCTGTCTGCTTTTTATATGTAATCCCGTTTCCAACGAAATCCTCAAAGCTAGACAAATATCCACTTGCAGATTCCACAAAAAGAGTGTTTCAAAACTGCTCTATCAAAAGAAAGCTTCAACACTGTTAGTTGAGGGCGCACATCACAAATAAGTTTCTGAGAATGCTTCTGTCTAGTTTTCAGGGGAAGATATTTCCTTTTAAACCATAGGCCTGAAAGCGCTCCAAATGTCCACATCCAGATACTACAAAAAGAGTGTTTCAAACCTGCTCTATGAAAGGGACTGTTCAACACTGTGACTTCAATTGAAACATCCCAATGACGCTTCTGAGAATGCTTCTGTCTAGAGTTTATATGAAGACAATCCCGTTTCCAAAGAAATCCTCAAAGCTATCCAAATCTCCTCTTGCAGATTTTACAAAAAGAGTGTTTCAAAACTGCTCTATCAAAAGAAAGCTTCAACACTGTTAGTTGAGGGCGCACATCACAAATAAGATTCTGAGAATGCTTCTATCTAGTTTTCAGGGGAAGATATTTCCTTTTTCACCATAGGCCTGAGAGCGCTCCAAATGTCCACATCCAGATGCTACAAAAAGAGTGTTTCAAACCTGCTCTATGAAAGGGAATGTTCAACTCTGTGACTTGAATGCAAACATCACAAAGAAGTTTCTGGGAATGCTGCTGTCTGCTTTTTATACGTAATCCCGTTTCCAAAGAAGTCCTCAAAGCTAGACAAATATCCACTTGCAGATTCCACAAAAAGAGTGTTTCAAAACTGCTCTCTCAAAAGAAAGGTTCAACTCTTTTAGCTGAGTAGATACATCATGAAAAAGTTTCTCACATTGCTTCTATCTAGCTTTTATTGGAAGATATTTCCTTTATCACCGTATTCCTGAGATCTCTCCAAATGTCCACTTCCAGATACTACAAAAACAGTGTTTCAAACCTGCTCTATGAAAGGGACTGTTCAACACTGTGACTTCAATTGAAACATCCCAATGAAGCTTCTGAGAATGCTGCTGTCTGCTTTGTATAATTAATCCCGTTTCCAACGAAATCCTCAAAGCTATCCAAATATCCTCTTGCAGATATTACAAAAAGAGTGTTTCAAAACTGCTCTATCAAAAGAAAGCTTCAACACTGTTAGTTGAGGGCGCACATCACAAATAAGTTTCTGAGAATGCTGCTGTCTGCTTTTTATATGTAATCCCGTTTCCAACGAAATCCTCAAAGCTAGACAAATATCCACTTGCAGATTCCACAAAAAGAGTGTTTCAAAACTGCTCTATCAAAAGAAAGCTTCAACACTGTTAGTTGAGGGCGCACATCACAAATAAGTTTCTGAGAATGCTTCTGTCTAGTTTTCAGGGGAAGATATGTCCTTTTAAACCATAGGCCTGAAAGCGCTCCAAATGTCCACATCCAGATACTACAAAAAGAGTGTTTCAAACCTGCTCTATGAAAGGGACTGTTCAACACTGTGACTTCAATTGAAACATCCCAATGACGCTTCTGAGAATGCTTCTGTCTAGAGTTTATATGAAGACAATCCCGTTTCCAACGAAATCCTCAAAGCTATCAAAATATCCTCTTGCAGATTTTACGAAAAGAGTTTTTCAAAACTGCTCTATCAAAAGAAAGCTTCAACACTGTTAGTTGAGGGCGCACATCACAAATAAGATTCTGAGAATTCTTCTGTCTAGTTTTCAGGGGAAGATATTTCCTTTTTCACCATAGGCCTGAAAGCGCTCCAAATGTCCACATCCAGATACTACAAAAAGAGTGTTTCAAACCTGCTCTATGAAAGGGAATGTTCAACTCTGTGACTTGAATGCAAACATCACAAAGAAGTTTCTGGGAATGCTGCTGTCTGCTTTTTATATGTAATCCCGTTTCCAACGAAATCCTCAAAGCTAGACAAATATCCACTTGCAGATTCCACAAAAAGAGTGTTTCAAAACTGCTCTCTCAAAAGAAAGGTTCAACTCTGTTAGCTGAGTAGATGCATCATGAAAAAGTTTCTGACATTGCTTCTATCTAGCTTTTATTGGAAGATATTTCCTTTATCACCGTATTCCTGAGATCTCTCCAAATGTCCACTTCCAGATACTTCAAAAAGAGTGTTTCAAACCTGCTCTATGAAAGGGACTGTTCAACACTGTGACTTCAATTGAAACATCCCAATGAAGCTTCTGAGAATGCTTCTGTCTAGAGTTTATATGAAGACAATCCCGTTTCCAACGAAATCCTCAAAGCTATCAAAATATCCTCTTGCAGATTTTACGAAAAGAGTGTTTCAAAACTGCTCTATCAAAAGAAAGCTTCAACACTGTTAGTTGAGGACGCACATCAGAAATAAGATTCTGAGAATGCTTCTGTCTAGTTTTCAGGGGAAGATATTTCCTTTTTCACCATAGGTCTGAAAGCGCTCCAAATGTCCACATCCAGATACTACAAAAAGAGTGTTTCAAACCTGCTCTATGAAAGGGAATGTTCAACTCTGTGACTTGAATGAAAACATCACAAAGAAGTTACTGGGAATGCTGCTGTCTGCTTTTTATATGTAATCCCGTTTCCAACGAAATCCTCAAAGCTAGACAAATATCCACTTGCAGATTCCACAAAAAGAGTGTTTCAAAACTGCTCTCTCAAAGGAAAGGTTCAACTCTGTTAGCTGAGTAGATACATCATGAAAAAGTTTCTGACATTGCTTCTATGTAGCTTTTATTGGAAGATATTTCCTTTTTCACCATAGTCCTGAGAGCGCTCCAAATGTCCACTTCCAGATACTACAAAAAGAGTGTTTCAAACCTGTTCTATGAAAGGAAATGTTCAACACTGTGACTTCAATTGAAACATCCCAATGAAGCTTCTGAGAATGCTTCTGTCTAGAGTTTATATGAAGACAATCCCGTTTCCAACGAAATCCTCAAAGCTATCCAAATATCCTCTTGCAGATACTACAAAAAGAGTGTTTCAAAACTGCTCTATCAAAAGAAAGGTTCAACACTGTTAGTTGAGGGCGCACATCACAAATAAGTTTCTGAGAATGCTTCTGTCTAGTTTTCAGGGGAAGATATTTCCTTTTTCACCTTATGCCTGAAAGCGCTGCAAATGTCCACATCCAGATACTACAAAAAGAGTGTTTCAAACCTGCTCTATGAAAGGGAATGTTCAACTCTGTGACTTGAATGCAAACATCACAAAGAAGTTTCTGGGAATGCTGCTGTCTGCTTTTTATATGTAATCCCGTTTCCAACGAAATCCTCAAAGCTAGACAAATATCCACTTGCAGATTCCACAAAACGAGTGTTTCAAAACTGCTCTCTCAAAGGAAGGTTCAACTCTGTTAGCTGAGTAGATACATCATGAAAAAGTTTCTGACATTGCTTCTATCTAGCTTTTATTGGAAGATATTTCCTTTTTCACCGCAGTCCTGAGAGCGCTCCAAATGTCCACTTCCAGATACTACAAAAAGAGTGTTTCAAACCTGCTCTATGAAAGGGACTGTTCAACACTGTGACTTCAACTGAAACATCCCAATGAAGCTTCTGAGAATGCTTCTGTCTAGAGTTTATATGAAGACAATCCCGTTTCCAACGAAATCCTCAAAGCTATCCAAATATCCTCTTGCAGATTTTACAAAAAGAGTGTTTCAAAACTGCTCTATCAAAAGAAAGCTTCAACTCTGTTAGTTGAGGGCGCACATCACAAATAAGATTCTGAGAATGCTTCTGTCTAGTTTTCAGGGGAAGATATTTCCTTTTTCACCATAGGCCTGAAAGCGCTCCAAATGTCCACATCCAGATACTACAAAAAGAGTGTTTCAAACCTGCTCTATGAAAGGGAATGTTCAACTCTGTGACTTGAATGCAAACATCACAAAGAAGTTTCTGGGAATGCAGCTGTCTGCTTTTTATATGTAATCCCGTTTCCAACGAAATCCTCAAAGCTAGACAAATATCCACTTGCAGATTCCACCAAAAGAGTGTTTCAAAACTGCTGTCTCAAAAGAAAGGTTCAACTCTGTTAGCTGAGTAGATACATCATGAACAATTTTCTCACATTCCTTCTATCTAGCTTTTATTGGAAGATATTTCCTTTTTCACCGTAGTCCTGAGAGCGCTCCAAATGTCCACTTCCAGATACTACAAAAAGAGTGTTTCAAACCTGCTCTATGAAAGGGACTGTTCAACACTGTGACTTCAATTGAAACATCCCAATGAAGCTTCTGAGAATGCTTCTGTCTAGAGTTTATATGAAGACAATCCCGTTTCCAACGAAATCCTCAAAGCTATCCAAATATCCTCTTGCAGATATTACAAAAAGAGTGTTTCAAAACTGCTCTATCAAAAGAAAGGTTCAACACTGTTAGTTGAGGGCGCACATCACAAATAAGTTTCTGAGAATGCTTCTGTCTAGTTTTCAGGGGAAGATATTTCCTTTTTCACCATAGGCCTGAAAGCGCTCCAAATGTCCACATCCAGATACTGCAAAAAGAGTGTTTCAAACCTGCTCTATGAAAGGGAATGTTCAACTCTGTGACTTGAATGCAAACATCACAAAGAAGTTACTGGGAATGCTGCTGTCTGCTTTTTATATGTAATCCCGTTTCCAACGAAATCCTCAAAGCTAGACAAATATCCACTTGCAGATTCCACAAAAAGAGTGTTTCAAAACTGCTCTCTCAAAGGAAAGGTTCAACTCTGTTAGCTGAGTAGATACATCATGAAAAAGTTTCTGACATTGCTTCTATGTAGCTTTTATTGGAAGATATTTCCTTTTTCACCGTAGTCCTGAGAGCGCTCCAAATGTCCACTTCCAGATACTACAAAAAGAGTGTTTCAAACCTGTTCTATGAAAGGTACTGTTCAACATTGTGACTTCAATTGAAACATCCCAATGAAGCTTCTGAGAATGCTTCTGTCTAGAGTTTATATGAAGACAAACCCGTTTCCAACGAAATCCTCAAAGCTATCCAAATATCCTCTTGCAGATATTACAAAAAGTGTGTTTCAAAACTGCTCTATCAAAAGAAAGCTTCAACACTGTTAGTTGAGGGCGCACATCACAAATAAGTTTCTGAGAATGCTTCTGTCTAGTTTTCAGGGGAAGATATTTCCTTTTTCACCTTAGGCCTGAAAGTGCTGCAAATGTACACATCCAGATACTACAAAAAGAGTGTTTCAAACCTGCTCTATGAAAGGGAATGTTCAACTCTGTGACTTGAATGCAAACATCACAAAGAAGTTTCTGGGAATGCTTCTGTCTAGTTTTCAGGGGAAGATATTTCCTTTTAAACCATAGGCCTGAAAGCGCTCCAAATGTCCACATCCAGATACTACAAAAAGAGTGTTTCAAACCTGCTCTATGAAAGGGACTGTTCAACACTGTGACTTCAATTGAAACATCCCAATGACGCTTCTGAGAATGCTTCTGTCTAGATTTTATATGAAGACAATCCCGTTTCCAACGAAATCCTCAAAGCTATCCAAATATCCTCTTGCAGATTTTACAAAAAGAGTGTTTCAAAACTGCTCTATCAAAGGAAAGGTTCAACACTGTTAGTTGAGGACGCACATCACAAATAAGTTTCTGAGAATGCTTCTGTCTAGTTTTCAGGGGAAGATATTTCCTTTTTCACCATAGGCCTGAAAGCGCTCCAAATGTCCACATCCAGATACTACAAAAAGAGTGTTTCAAACCTGCTCTATGAAAGCGAATGTTCAACTCTGTGACTTGAATGCAAACATCACAAAGAAGTTACTGGGAATGCTGCTGTCTGCTTTTTATATGTAATCCCGTTTCCAACGAAATCCTCAAAGCTAGAAAACATCCACTTGCAGATTCCACAAAAAGAGTGTTTCAAAACTGCTCTCTCAAAGGAAAGGTTCAACTCTGTTAGCTGAGTAGATACATCATGAAAAAGTTTCTGACATTGCTTCTATGTAGCTTTTATTGGAAGATATTTCCTTTTTCACCGCAGTCCTGAGAGCGCTCCAAATGTCCACTTCCAGATACTACAAAAAGAGTGTTTCAAACCTGCTCTATGAAAGGGACTGTTCAACACTGTGACTTCAATTGAAACATCCCAATGAAGATTCTGAGAATGCTTCTGTCTAGAGTTTATATGAAGACAATCCCGTTTCCAACGAAATCGTCAAAGCTATCCAAATATCCTCTTGCAGATTTTACAAAAAGAGTGTTTCAAAACTGCTCTATCAAAAGAAAGCTTCAACACTGTTAGTTGAGGGCGCACATCACAAATAAGTTTCTGAGAATGCTTCTGTCTAGTTTTCAGGGGAAGATATTTCCTTTTAGACCATAGGCCTGAAAGCGCTCCAAATGTCCACTTCCAGATACTACAAAAAGAGTGTTTCAAACCTGCTCTATGAAAGGGACTGTTCAACACTGTGACTTCAATTGAAACATCCCGATGAAGCTTCTGAGAATGCTTCTGTCTAGAGTTTATATGAAGACAATCCCGTTTCCAACGAAATCCTCAAAGCTATCCAAATATCCTCTTGCAGATATTACAAAAAGAGTGTTTCAAAACGGCTCTATCAAAAGAAAGCTTCAACACTGTTAGTTGAGGGCGCACATCTCAAATAAGTTTCTGAGAATGCTTCTGTCTATTTTTCAGGAGAAGATATTTCCTTTTTCACCATAGGCCTGAAAGCGCTCCAAATGTCCACATCCAGACTATAAAAAGAGTGTTTCAAACCTGCTCTATGAAAGGGAATGTTCAACTCTGTGACTTGAATGCAAACATCACAAAGAAGATTCTGGGAGTGCTGCTGTCTGCTTTTTATATGTAATCCCGTTTCCAACGAAATCCTCAAAGCTAGACAAATATCCACTTACAGATTCCACAAAAAGAGTGTTTCAAAACTGCTCTATCAAAAGAATGCTTCAACACTGTTAGTTGAGGGCGCACATCAGAAATAAGTTTCTGAGAATGCTTCTATCTAGCTTTTATTGGAAGATATTTCCTTTTTCACTGTAGTCCTGAGAACGCTCCAAATGTCCACTTCCAGATACTACAAAAAGAGTGTTTCAAACCTGCTCTATGAAAGGGACTGTTCAACACTGTGACTTCAATTGAAACATCCCAATGAAGCTTCTGAGAATGCTTCTGTCTAGAGTTTATATGAAGACAATCCCGTTTCCAACGAAATCCTCAAAGCTATCCAAATATCCTCTTGCAGATTTTACAAAAAGAGTGTTTCAAAACTGCTCTATCAAAAGAAAGCTTCAACACTGTTAGTTGAGGGCGCACATCACAAATAAGATTCTGAGAATGCTTCTGTCTAGTTTTCTTGGGAAGATATTTCCTTTTTCACCATAGGCCTGAAAGCGCTCCAAATGTCCACATCCAGATACTACAAAAAGAGTGTTTCAAACCTGCTCTATGAAAGGGAATGTTAAACTCTGTGACTTGAATGCAAACAACACAAAGAAGTTTCTGGGAATGCTGCTGTCTGCTTTTTATATGTAAACCCGTTTCCAACGAAATCCTCAAAGCTAGACAAACATCCACTTGCAGATTCCACAAAAAGAGTGTTTCAAAACTGCTCTCTCAAAGGAAAGTTTCAACTCTGTTAGCTGAGTAGATACATCATGAAAAAGTTTCTGACATTGCTTCTATGTAGCTTTTATTGGAAGATATTTCCTTTTTCACCATAGTCCTGAGAGCGCTCCAAATGTCCACTTCCAGATACTACAAAAAGAGTGTTTCAAACCTGTTCTATGAAAGGAACTGTTCAACACTGTGACTTCAATTGAAACATCCCAAAGAAGCTTCTGAGAATGCTGCTGTCTGCTTTGTATAATTAATCCCGTTTCCAACGAAATCCTCAAAGCTATCCAAATATCCTCTTGCAGATATTACAAAAAGAGTGTTTCAAAACTGCTCTATCAAAAGAAAGCTTCAACACTGTTAGTTGAGGGCGCACATCACAAATAAGTTTCTGAGAATGCTGCTGTCTGCTTTTTATATGTAATCCCGTTTCCAACGAAATCCTCAAAGCTAGACAAATATCCACTTGCAGATTCCACAAAAAGAGTGTTTCAAAACTGCTCTATCAAAAGAAAGCTTCAACACTGTTAGTTGAGGGCGCACATCACAAATAAGTTTCTGAGAATGCTTCTGTCTAGTTTTCAGGGGAAGATATTTCCTTTTAAACCATAGGCCTCAAAGCGCTCCAAATGTCCACATCCAGATACTACAAAAAGAGTGTTTCAAACCTGCTCTATGAAAGGGACTGTTCAACACTGTGACTTCAATTGAAACATCCCAATGAAGCTTCTGAGAATGCTTCTGTCTAGAGTTTATATGAAGAGAATCCCGTTTCCAACGAAATCCTCAAAGCTATCAAAATATCCTCTTGCAGATTTTACGAAAAGAGTGTTTCAAAACTGCTCTATCAAAAGAAAGCTTCAACACTGTTAGTTGAGGGCGCACATCACAAATAAGATTCTGAGAATGCTTCTATCTAGCTTTTATTGGAATATATTTCCTTTTTCACCATAGGCCTGAAAGCGCTCCAAATGTCCACATCCAGATACTACAAAAAAAGTGTTTCAAACCTGCTCTATGAAAGGGAATGTTCAACTCTGTGACTTGAATGGAAACATCACAAAGAAGTTACTGGGAATGCTGCTGTCTGCTTTTTATATGTAATCCCGTTTCCAACGCAATCCTCAAAGCTAGACAAATATCCACTTGCAGATTCCACAAAAAGAGTGTTTCAAAACTGCTCTCTGAAAAGAAAGGTTCAACTCTGTTAGCTGAGTAGATACATCATGAAAAAGTTTCTGACATTGCTTCTATCTAGCTTTTATTGGAAGATATTTCCTTTTTCAACGCAGTCCTGAGAGCGTTCCAAATGTCCACTTCCAGATACTACAAAAAGAGTGTTTCAAACCTGCTCTATGAAAGGGACTGTTCAACACTGTGACTTCAATTGAAACATCCCAATGAAGCTTCTGAGAATGCTTCTGTCTAGAGTTTATATGAAGACAATCCCGTTTCCAACGAAATCCTCAAAGCTATCCAAATATCCTCTTGCAGATATTACAAAAAGAGTGTTTCAAAACTGCTCTATCAAAAGAAAGGTTCAACACTGTTAGTTGAGGGCGCACATCACAAATAAGTTTACTGAGAATGCTGCTGTCTGCTTTTTATATGTAATCCCGTTTCCAACGAAATCCTCAAAGCTAGACAAATATCCACTTGCAGATTCCACAAAAAGAGTGTTTCAAAACTGCTCTATCAAAAGAATGCTTCAACACTGTTAGTTGAGGGCGCACATCACAAATAAGTTTCTGAGAATGCTTCTGTCTAGTTTTCAGTGGAAGATATTTCCTTTTAAACCATAGGCCTGAAAGCGCTCCAAATGTCCACATCCAGATACTACAAAAAGAGTGTTTGAAACCTGTTCTATGAAAGGGACTGTTCAACACTGTGACTTCAATTGAAACATCCCAATGAAGCTTCTGAGAATGCTTCTGTCTAGAGTTTATATGAAGACAATCCCGTTTCCAACGAAATCCTGAAAGCTATCCAAATATCCTCTTGCAGATTTTACAAAAAGAGTGTTTCAAAACTGCTCTATCAAAAGAAAGGTTCAACACTGTTAGTTGAGGGCGCACATCACAAATAAGTTTCTGAGAATGCTTCTGTCTAGTTTTCAGGGGAAGATATTTCCTTTTTCACCTTAGGCCTGAAAGCGCTGCAAATGTCCACATCCAGATACTACAAAAAGAGTGTTTCAAACCTGCTGTATGAAAGGGAATGTTCAACTCTGTGACTTGAATGCAAACATCACAAAGAAGTTACTGGGAATGCTGCTGTCTGCTTTTTATATGTAATCCCGTTTCCAACGAAATCCTCAAAGCTAGACAAATATCCACTTGCAGATTCCACAAAAAGAGTGTTTCAAAACTGCTCTCTCAAAAGAAAGGTTCAACTCTGTTAGCTGAGTAGATACATCATGAAAAAGTTTCTGACATTGCTTCTATCTAGCTTTTATTGGAAGATATTTCCTTTTTCACTGTAGTCCTGAGAGCGCTCCAAATGTCCACTTCCAGATGCTACAAAAAGAGTGTTTCAAACATGCTCTATGAAAGGGACTGTTCAACACTGTGACTTCAATTGAAACATCCGAATGAAGCTTCTGAGAATGCTTCTGTCTAGATTCTATATGAAGACAATCCCGTTTCCAACGAAATCCTCAAAGCTATCCAAATATCCTCTTGCAGATTTTACAAAAAGAGTGTTTCAAAACTGCTCTATCAAAAGAAAGGTTCAACACTGTTAGTTGAGGGCGCACATCACAAATAAGTTTCTGGGAATGCTTCTGTCTAGTTTTCAGGGGAAGATATTTCCTTTTTCACCATAGGCCTGAAAGCGCTCCAAATGTCCACATCCAGATACTACAAAAAGAGTGTTTCAAACCTGCTCTATGAAAGGGAATGTTCAAGTCTGTGACTTGAATGCAAATTTCACAAAGAAGTTTCTGGGAATGCTGCTGTCTGCTTTTTATATGTAATCCCGTTTCCAACGAAATCCTCAAAGCTAGACAAATATCCACTTGCAGATTCCACAAAAAGAGTGTTTCAAAACTGCTCTCTCAAAAGAAATGTTCAACCCTTTTAGCTGAGTAGATACATCATGAAAAAGTTTCTGACATTCCTTCTATCTAGCTTTTATTGGAAGATATTTCCTTTTTCACCGCAGTCCTGAGAGCGTTCCAAATGTCCACTTCCAGATACTACAAAAAGAGTGTTTCAAACCTGCTCTATGAAAGGGACTGTTCAACACTGTGACTTCAATTGAAACATCCCAATGAAGCTTCTGAGAATGCTTCTGCCTAGAGTTTATATGAAGACAATCCCGTTTCCAACGAAATCCTCAAAGCTATCCAAATATCCTCTTGCAGATATTACAAAAAGAGTGTTTCAAAACTGCTCTATCAAAAGAAAGCTTCAACACTGTTAGTTGAGGGCGCACATCACAAATAAGTTTCTGAGAATGCTTCTGTCTAGTTTTAAGGGGAAGATATTTCCTTTTTCACCATAGGCCTGAAAGCGCTCCAAATGTCCACATACAGATACTACAAAAAGTGTGTTTCAAACCTGCTCTATGAAAGGGAATGTTCAACTCTGTGACTTGAATGCAAACATCACAAAGAAGTTTCTGGGAATGCTGCTGTCTGCTTTTTATATGTAATCCCGTTAACAACGAAATCCTCAAAGCTAGACAAATATCCACTTGCAGATTCCACAAAAAGAGTGTTTCAAAACTGCTCTCTCAAAAGAAAGGTTCAACTCTGTTAGCTGAGTAGATACATCATGAAAAAGTTTCTGACATTGCTTCTATCTAGCTTTTATTGGAAGATATTTCCTTTATCATCGTAGTCCTGAGAGCGCTCCAAATGTCCACTTCCAGATACTACAAAAAGAGTGTTTCAAACCTGCTCTATGAAAGGGACTGTTCAACACTGTGACTTCAATTGAAACATCCCAATGAAGCTTCTGAGAATGCTTCTGTCTAGAGTTTATATGAAGACAATCCCGTTTCCAACGAAATCCTCAAAGCTATCCAAATATCCTCTTGCAGATATTACAAAAAGAGTGTTTCAAAACTGCTCTATCAAAAGAAAGCTTCAACACTGTTAGTTGAGGGCGCACATCACAAATAAGTTTCTGAGAATGCTTCTGTCTAGTTTTCAGGGGAAGATATTTCCTTTTTCACCATAGGCCTGAAAGCGCTCCAAATGTCCACATCCAGATACTACAAAAAGAGTGTTTCAAACCTGCTCTATGAAAGGGAATGTTCAACTCTGTGACTTCAATGCAAACTTCACAAAGAAGTTTCTGGGAATGCTGCTGTCTGCTTTTTATATGTAATCCCGTTTCCAACGAAATCCTCAAAGCTAGACAAATATCCACTTGCAGATTCCACAAAAAGAGTGTTTCAAAACTGCTCTCTCAAAAGAAAGATTCAACTCTGTTAGCTGAGTAGATACATCATGAAAAAGTTTCTGACATTGCTTCCATCTAGCTTTTATTGGAAGATATTTCCTTTTTCACCGCAGTCCTGAGAGCGCTCCAAATGTCCACTTCAAGATACTACAAAAAGAGTGTTTCAAACCTGCTCTATGAAAGGGACTGTTCAACACTGTGAATTCAATTGAAACATCCCAATGAAGCTTCTGAGAATGCTTCTGTCTACTTTTCAGGAGAAGATATTTCCTTTTTCACCATAGGCCTGAAAGCGCTCCAAATGTCCACATCTAGATACTATAAAAAGAGTGTTTCAAACCTGCTCTCTGAAAGGGAATGTTCAACTCTGTGACTTGAATGCAAACATCACATACAAGATTCTGGGAATGCTGCTGTCTGCTTTTTATATGTAATCCCGTTTCCAACGAAATCCTCAAAGCTAGACAAATATCCACTTGCAGATTCCACAAAAAGAGTGTTTCAAAACTGCTCTGTCAAAAGAAAGCTTCAACACTGTTAGTTGAGGGCGCACATCACAAATAAGTTTCTGAGAATGCTTCTGTCTAGTTTTCAGGGGAAGATATTTCCTTTTAAACCATAGGCCTGAAAGCGCTCCAAATGTCCACATCCAGATACTACAAAAAGAGTGTTTCAAACCTGCTCTATGAAAGGGACTGTTCAACACTGTGACTTCAATTGAAACATCCCAATGAAGATTCTGAGAATGCTTTTGTCTAGATTTTAGATGAAGACAATCCCGTTTCCAACGAAATCCTCAAAGCTATCCAAATATCCTCTTGCAGATTTTACAAAAAGAGTGTTTCAAAACTACTCTATCAATAGAAAGGTTTAACACTGTTAGTTGTGGGAGCACATCACAAATAAGTTTCTGAGAATGCTTCTGTCTAGTTTTCAGGGGAAGATATTTCCTTTTTCACCTTAGGCCTGAAAGCGCTGTAAATGTCCACATCCAGATACTACAAAAAGAGTGTTTCAAACCTGCTCTATGAAAGGGAATGTTCAACTCTGTGACTTGAATGCAAACATCACAAAGAAGTTTCTGGGAATGCCGCTGTCTGCTTTTTATATGTAATCCCGTTTCCAACGAAATCCTCAAAGCTATCCAAATATCCTCTTGCAGATTTTACAAAAAGAGTGTTTCAAAACTGCTCTCTCAAAAGAAAGGTTCAACTCTGTTAGCTGAGTAGATACATCATGAAAAAGTTTCTGACATTGCTTCTATCTAGCTTTTATTGGAAGATATTTCCTTTTTCACTGCAGTCCTGAGAGCGCTCCAAATGTCCACTTCCAGATACTACAAAAAGAGTGTTTCAAACCTGCTCTACTAAAGGGACTGTTCAACACTGTGACTTCAATTGAAACATCCCAATGAAGCTTCTGAGAATGCTTCTGTCTAGAGTTTATATGAAGACAATCCCGTTTCCAACGAAATCCTCAAAGCTATCCAAATATCCTCTTGCAGATATTACAAAAAGAGTGTTTCAAAACTGCTCTATCAAAAGAAAGGTTCAACACTGTTAGTTGAGGGCGCACATCACAAATAAGTTTACTGAGAATGCTGCTGTCTGCTTTTTATATGTATTCCCGTTTCCAACGAAATCCTCAAAGCTAGACAAATATCCACTTGCAGATTCCACAAAAAGAGTGTTTCAAAACTGCTCTATCAAAAGAAAGCTTCAACACTGTTAGTTGAGGGCGCACATCACAAATAAGTTTCTGAGAATTCTTCTGTCTAGTTTTCAGGGGAAGATATTTCCTTTTAAACCATAGGCCTGAAAGCGCTCCAAATGTCCACATCGAGATACTACAAAAAGAGTGTTTCAAACCTGCTCTATGAAAGGGACTGTTCAACACTGTGACTTCAATTGAAACATCCCAATGACGCTTCTGAGAATGCTTCTGTCTAGAGTTTATATGAAGACAATCCCGTTTCCAACGAAATCCTCAAAGCTATCCAAATATCCTCTTGCAGATTTTACAAAAAGAGTGTTTCAAAACTGCTCTATCAAAAGAAAGCTTCAACACTGTTAGTTGAGGGCGCACATCACAAATAAGATTCTGAGAATGCTTCTGTCTAGTTTTCAGGGGAAGATATTTCCTTTTTCACCATAGGCCTGAAAGCGCTCCAAATGTCCACATCCAGATACTACAAAAAGAGTGTTTCAAACCTGCTCTATGAAAGGGAATGTTCAAGTCTGTGACTTGAATGCAAATATCACAAAGAAGTTTCTGGGAATGCTGCTGTCTGCTTTTTATATGTAATCCCGTTTCCAACGAAATCCTCAAAGCTAGACAAATATCCACTTGCAGATTCCACAAAAAGAGTGTTTCAAAACTGCTCTCTCAAAGGAAGGTTCAACTCTGTTAGCTGAGTAGACACATCATGAAAAAGATTCTGACATTGCTTCTATGTAGCTTTTATTGGAAGATATTTCCTTTTTCACCGCAGTCCTGAGAGCGCTCCAAATGTCCACTTCCAGATACTACAAAAAGAGTGTTTCAAACCTGATCTATGAAAGGGACTGTTCAACACTGTGACTTCAATTGAAACATCCCAATGAAGCTTCTGAGAATGCTACTGTCTAGAGTTTATATGAAGACAATCCCGTTTCCAACGAAATCCTCAAAGCTATCCAAATATCCTCTTGCAGATATTACAAAAAGAGTGTTTCAAAACTGCTCTATCAAAAGAAAGCTTCAACACTGTTAGTTGAGGGCGCACATCACAAATAAGTTTCTGAGAATGCTTCTGTCTAGTTTTCAGGGGAAGATATTTCCTTTTTCACCATAGGCCTGAAAGCGCTCCAAATGTCCACACCCAGATACTACAAAAAGAGTGTTTCAAACCTGCTCTTTGAAAGGGAATGTTCAACTCTGTGACTTGAATGCAAGCATCAGAAAGAAGTTACTGGGAATGCTGCTGTCTGCTTTTTATATGTAATCCCGTTTCCAACGAAATCCTCAAAGCTAGACAAATATCCACTTGCAGATTCCACAAAAAGAGTGTTTCAAAACTGCTCTCTTAAAGGAAAGGTTCAACTCTGTTAGCTGAGTAGATACATCATGAAAAAGTTTCTGACATTGCTTCTATCTAGCTTTTATTGGAAGATATTTCCTTTTTCACCGCAGTCCTGAGAGCGCTCCAAATGTCCACTTCCAGATACTACAAAAAGAGTGTTTCAAACCTGCTCTATGAAAGGGACTGTTCAACACTGTGACTTCAATTGAAACATCCCAATGAAGCTTCTGAGAATGCTTCTGTCTAGAGTTTATATGAAGACAATCCCGTTTCCAACGAAATCCTCAAAGCTATCCAAATATCCTCTTGCAGATTTTACGAAAAGAGTGTTTCAAAACTGCTCTATCAAAAGAAAGCTTCAACACTGTTAGTTGAGGGCGCACATCACCAATAAGATTCTGAGAATGCTTCTGTCTAGTTTACAGGGGAAGATATTTCCTTTTTCACCTTAGGCCTGAAAGCGCTCCAAATGTCCACATCCAGATACTATAAAAAGAGTGTTTCAAACCTGCTCTCTGAAAGGGAATGTTCAACTCTGTGACTTGAATGCAAACATCACAAACAAGATTCTGGGAATGCTGCTGTCTGCTTTTTATAATTAATCCCGTTTCCAACGAAATCCTCAAAGCTATCCAAATATCCTCTTGCAGATATTACAAAAAGAGTGTTTCAAAACTGCTCTATCAAAAGAAAGGTTCAACACTGTTAGTTGAGGGCGCACATCACAAATAAGTTTCTGAGAATGCTTCTGTCTAGTTTTCAGGGGAAGATATTTCCTTTTTCACCATAGGCCTGAAAGCGCTCCAAATGTCCACATCCAGATACTACAAAAAGAGTGTTTCAAACCTGCTCTATGAAAGTGACTGTTCAACACTGTGACTTCAATTGAAACATCCCAATGAAGCTTCTGAGAATGCTTCTGTCTAGAGTTTATATGAAGACAATCCCGTTTCCAACGAAATCCTCAAAGCTATCCAAATATCCTCTTGCAGATATTACAAAAAGAGTGTTTCAAAACTGCTCTATCAAAAGAAAGCTTCAACACTGTTAGTTGAGGGTGCACATCACAAATAAGATTCTGAGAATGCTTCTGTCTAGTTTTCAGGGGAAGATATTTCCTTTTCCACCATAGGCCTGAAAGCGCTCCAAATGTCCACATCCAGATACTACAAAAAGAGTGTTTCAAACCTGCTCTATGAAAGGGAATGTTCAACTCTGTGACTTGAATGCAAACATCACAAAGAAGTTTCTGGGAATGCTGCTGTCTGCTTTTTATATGTAATCCCGTTTCCAACGAAATCCTCAGAGCTAGACAAATATCCACTTGCAGATTCCACAAAAAGAGTGTTTCAAAACTGCTCTCTCAAAGGAAAGGTTCAACTCTGTTAGCTGAGTAGATACATCATGAAAAAGTTTCTGACATTGCTTCTATCTAGCTTTTATTGGAAGATATTTCCTTTATCACCGTATTCCTGAGATCTCTCCAAATGTCCACTTCCAGATACTACAAAAAGAGTGTTTCAAACCTGCTCTATGAAAGGGACTGTTCAACACTGTGACTTCAATTGAAACATCCCAATGAAGCTTCTGAGAATGCTTCTTTCTAGAGTTTATATGAAGACAATCCCGTTTCCAACGAAATCCTCAAAGCTATCCAAATATTCTCTTGCAGATATTACAAAAAGAGTGTTTCAAAACTGCTCTATCAAAATAAAGCTTCAACACTGTTAGTTGAGGGCGCACATCACAAATAAGTTTCTGAGAATGCTGCTGTCTGCTTTTTATATGTAATCCCGTTTCCAACGAAATCCTCAAAGCTATCCAAATATCCTCTTGCAGATATTACAAAAAGAGTGTTTCAAAACTGCTCTATCAAAAGAAAGGTTCAACACTGTTAGTTGAGGGCGCACATCACAAATAAGTTTCTGAGAATGCTTCTGTCTAGTTTTCAGGGGAAGATATTTCCTTTTTCACCATAGGCCTGAAAGCGCTCCAAATGTCCACATCCAGATACTACAAAAAGAGTGTTTCAAACCTGCTCTATGAGAGGGAATGTGTCAACTCTGTGACTTGAATGCAAACATCACAAAGAAGTTACTGGGAATGCTTCTGTCTAGAGTTTATATGAAGACAATCCCGTTTCCAACGAAATCCTCAAAGCTATCCAAATATCCTCTTGCAGATTTTACAAAAAGAGTGTTTCAAAACTGCTCTATCAAAAGAAAGGTTCAACACTGTTAGTTGAGGGCGCACATCACAAATAGGATTCTGAGAATGCTTCTGTCTAGTTTTCAGGGGAAGATATTTCCTTTTTCACCATAGGCCTGAAAGCGCTCCAAATGTCCACATCCAGATACTACAAAAAGAGTGTTTCAAACCTGCTCTATGAAAGGGAATGTTCAACTCTGTGACTTGAATGCAAACGTCACAAAGAAGTTTCTGGGAATGCTGCTGTCTGCTTTTTATATGTAATCCCGTTTCCAACGAAATCCTCAAAGCTAGACAAATATCCACTTGCAGATTCCACAAAAAGAGTGTTTCAAAACTGCTGTCTCAAAAGAAAGGTTCAACTCTGTTAGCTGAGCAGATACATCATGAAAAAGTTTCTGACATTGCTTCTATCTAGCTTTTATTGGAAGATATTTCCTTTATCACCGTATTCCTGAGATCTCTCCAAATGTCCACTTCCAGATACTACAAAAAGAGTGTTTCAAACCTGCTCTATGAAAGGGACTGTTCAACACTGTGACTTCAATTGAAACATCCCAATGAAGCTTCTGAGAATGCTTCTGTCTAGAGTTTATATGAAGACAATCCCGTTTCCAACGAAATCCTCAAAGCTATCCAAATATCCTCTTGCAGATATTACAAAAAGAGTGTTTCAAAACTGCTCTATCAAAAGAAAGGTTCAACACTGTTAGTTGAGGGCGCACATCACAAATAAGTTTCTGAGAATGCTTCTGTCTAGTTTTCAGGGGAAGATATTTCCTTTTTCACCATAGGCCTGAAATCGCTCCAAATGTCCACATCCAGATACTACAAAAAGAGTGTTTCAAACCTGCTCTATGAATGGGAATGTTCAAGTCTGTGACTTGAATGCAAATATCACAAAGAAGTTTCTGGGAATGCTGCTGTCTGCTTTTTATATGTAATCCCGTTTCCAATGAAATCCTCAAAGCTAGACAAATACCCACTTGCAGATTCCACAAAAAGAGTGTTTCAAAACTGCTCTCTCAAAAGAAAGGTTCAACTCTGTTAGCTGAGTAGATACATCATGAAAATGTTTCTGACATTGCTTCTATCTAGCTTTTATTGGAAGATATTTCCTTTTTCACCGTATTCCTGAGAACTCTCCAAATATCCACTTCCAGATACTACAAAAAGAGTGTTTCAAACCTGCTCTATGAAAGGGACTGTTCAACACTGTGACTTCAATTGAAACATCCCAATGAAGCTTATCAGAATGCTACTGTCTAGAGTTTATATGAAGACAATCCCGTTTCCAACGAAATCCTCAATGCTATCCAAATATCCTCTTGCAGATTTTACAAAAAGAGTGTTTCAAAACTACTCTATCAAAAGAAAGGTTCAACATTGTTAGTTGAGGGCGCACATCACAAATAAGTTTCTGAGAATGCTTCTGTCTAGTTCTCAGGGGAAGTATATTTCCTTTTTCACCATAGGCCTGAAAGCGCTCCAAATGTCCACATCCAGATACTACAAAAAGAGTGTTTCAAACCTGCTCTATGAAAGGGAATGTTCAACTCTGTGACTTGAATGCAAACATCACAAAGAAGATTCTGGGAATGCTGCTGTCTGCTTTTTATATGTAATCCCGTTTCCAACGAAATCCTCAAAGCTAGACAAATATCCACTTGCAGATTCCACAAAAAGAGTGTTTCAAAACTGCTCTCTCAAAAGAAAGGTTCAACTCTGTTAGCTGAGTAGATACATCATGAAAAAGTTTCTGACATTGCTTCTATCTAGCTTTTATTGTAGATATTTCCTTTTTCACCGCAGTCCTGAGAGCGCTCCAAATGTCCACTTCCAGATACTACAAAAAGAGTGTTTCAAACGTGCTCTATGAAAGGGACTGTTCAACACTGTGACTTCAATTGAAACATCCCAATGAAGCTTCTGAGAATGCTTCTGTCTAGAGTTTATATGAAGACAATCCCGTTTCCAACGAAATCCTCAAAGCTATCCAAATATCCTCTTGCAGATATTACAAAAAGAGTGTTTCAAAACTGCTCTATCAAAAGAAAGGTTCAACACTGTTAGTTGAGGGCGCACATCACAAATAAGTTTACTGAGAATGCTGCTGTCTGCTTTTTATATGTAATCCCGTTTCCAACGAAATCCTCAAAGCTAGACAAATATCCACTTGCAGATTCCACAAAAAGAGTGTTTCAAAACTGCTCTATCAAAAGAATGCTTCAACACTGTTAGTTGAGGGCGCACATCACAAATAAGTTTCTGAGAATGCTTCTGTCTAGTTTTCAGGGGAAGATATTTCCTTTTTCACCATAGGCCTGAAAGCGCTCCAAATGTCCACATCTAGATACTACAAAAAGAGTGTTTCAAACCTGCTCTATGAAAGGGACTGTTCAACACTGTGACTTCAATTGAAACATCCCAATGAAGCTTCTGAGAATGCTTCTGTCTAGAGTTTATATGAAGACAATCCCGTTTCCAACGAAATCCTCAAAGCTATCCAAATATCCTCTTGCAGATTTTACAAAAAGAGTGTTTCAAAACTGCTCTATCAAAACAAAGCTTCAACACTGTTAGTTGAGGGCGCACATCACAAATAAGATTCTGAGAATGCTTCTGTCTAGTTTTCAGGGGAAGATATTTCCTTTTTCACCATAGGCCTGAAAGCGCTCCAAATGTCCACATCCAGATACTACAAAAAGAGTGTTTCAAACCTGCTCTATGAAAGGGAATGTTCAAGTCTGTGACTTGAATGCAAATATCACAAAGAAGTTTCTGGGAATGCTGCTGTCTGCTTTTTATATGTAATCCCGTTTCCAACGAAATCCTCAATGCTAGACAAATATCCACTTGCAGATTCCACAAAAAGAGTGTTTCAAAACTGCTCTCTCAAAAGAAAGGTTCAACTCTGTTAGCTGAGTAGATACATCATGAAAAAGTTTCTGACATTGCTTCTATCTAGCTTTTATTGGAAGATATTTCCTTTTTCACCGTAGTCCTGAGAGCGCTCCAAATGTCCACTTCCAGATACTACAAAAAGAGTGTTTCAAACCTGCTCTATGAAAGGGACTGTTCAACACTGTGACTTCAATTGAAACATCCCAATGAAGCTTCTGAGAATGCTTCTGTCTAGAGTTTATATGAAGACAATCCCGTTTCCAATGAAATCCTCAAAGCTATGCAAATATCCTCTTGCAGATTTTACAAAAAGAGTGTTTCAAAACTGCTCTATCAAAAGAAAGCTTCAACACTGTTAGTTGAGGGCGCACATCACAGATAAAATTCTGAGAATGCTGCTGTCTGCTTTTTATATGTAATCCCGTTTACAACGAAATCCTCAAAGCTAGACAAATATCCACTTGCAGATTCCACAAAAAGAGTGTTTCAAAACTACTCTATCAAAAGAAAGCTTCAACACTGTTAGTTGAGGTCACACATCACAAATAAGTTTCTGAGAATGCTTCTGTCTAGTTTTCAGGGGAAGATATTTCCTTTTTCACCATAGGCCTGAAAGCGCTCCAAATGACCACATCCAGATACTACAAAAAGAGTGTTTCAAACCTGCTCTATGAAAGGGACTGTTCAACACTGTGACTTCAATTGAAACATCCCAATGAAGCTTCTGAGAATGCTTCTGTCTAGAGTTTATTTGAAGACAATCCCGTTTCCAATGAAATCCTCAAAGCTATGCAAATATCCTCTTGCAGATTTTACAAAAAGAGTGTTTCAAATCTGCTCTATCAAAAGAAAGCTTCAACACTGTTAGTTGAGGGCGCACATCACAAATAAGATTCTGAGAATGCTTCTGTCTAGTTTTCAGGAGAAGATATTTCCTTTTTCACCATAGGCCTGAAAGCGCTCCAAATGTCCACATCGAGATACTACAAAAAGAGTGTTTCAAACCTGCTCTATGAAAGGGAATGTTCAACTCTGTGACTTGAATGCAAACATCACAAAGAAGATTCTGGGAATGCTGCTGTCTGCTTTTTATATGTAATCCCGTTTCCAACGAAATCCTCAAAGCTAGACAAATATTCACTTGCAGATTCCACAAAAAGAGTGTTTCAAAACTGCTCTATCAAAAGAAAGCTTCAACACTGTTAGTTGAGGGGGCACATCACAAATAAGTTTCTGAGAATGCTTCTGTCTAGTTTTCAGGGGAAGATATTTCCTTTTTCACCATAGGCCTGAAAGCGTTCCAAATGTCCACATCCAGATACTACAAAAAGAGTGTTTCAAACCTGCTCTATGAAAGGGACTGTTCAACACTGTGACTTCAATTGAAACGTCCCAATGAAGCATCTGAGAATGCTTCTGTCTAGAATTTATATGCAGACAATCCCGTTTCCAACGAAATCCTCAAAGCTATCCAAATATCCTCTTGCAGATTTTACAAAAAGCGTGTTTCAAAACGGCTCTGTGAAAAGAAAGCTTCAACACTGTTAGTTGAGGGCGCACATCACAAATAAGTTTCTGAGACTACTTCTGTCTAGTTTTCAGGGGAAGATATTTCCTTTTTCACCATAGGCCTGAAAGCGCTCCACATGTCCACATCCAGATACTACAAAAAGAGTGTTTCAAACCTGCTCTATGAAAGGGAATGTTCAACTCTGTGACTTGAATGCAAACATCACAAAGAAGTTTCTGGGAATGCTGCAGTCTGCTTTTTATATGTAATCCCGTTTCCAACGAAATCCTCAAAGCTACACAAATATCCACTTGCAGATTCCACAAAAAGAGTGTTTCAAAACTGCTCTATCAAAAGAATGCTTCAACACTGTTAGTTGAGGGCGCACATCACAAATAAGTTTCTGAGAATGCTTCTGTCTAGTTTTCAGGGGAAGATATTTCCTTTTAAACCATAGGCCTGAAAGCGCTCCAAATGTCCACATCGAGATACTACAAAAAGAGTGTTTCAAACCTGCTCTATGAAAGGGACTGTTCAACACTGTGACTTCAATTGAAACATCCCAATGACGCTTCTGAGAATGCTTCTGTCTAGAGTTTATATGAAGACAATCCCGTTTCCAACGAAATCCTCAAAGCTATCAAAATATCCTCTTGCAGATTTTACGAAAAGAGTGTTTCAAAACTGCTCTATCAAAAGAAAGCTTCAACAGTGTTAGTTGAGGGCGCACATCACAAATAAGATTCTGAGAAAGCTTCTGTCTAGTTTTCAGGGGAAGATATTTCCTTTTTCACCATAGGCCTGAAAGCGCTCCAAATGTCCACATCCAGATAATACAAAAAGAGTGTTTCAAACCTGCTCTATGAAAGGGAATGTTCAACTCTGTGACTTGAATGCAAACATCACAAAGAAGTTTCTGGGAATGCTTCTGTCTGCTTTTTATATGTAATCCCGTTTCCAACGAAATCCTCAAAGCTAGACAAATATCCACTTGCAGATTCCACAAAAAGAGTGTTTCAAAACGGCTCTCTCAAAAGAAATGTTCAACTCTGTTAGCTGAGTAGATACATCATGAAAAAGTTTCTGAGATTGCTTCTATCTAGCTTTTATTGCAAGATATTTCCTTTTTCACTGTAGTCCTGAGAACGCTCCAAATGTCCACTTCCAGATACTACAAAAAGAGTGTTTCAAACCTGCTCTATGAAAGGGACTGATCAACACTGTGACTTCTATTGAAACATCCCAATGAAGCTTCTGAGAATGCTTCTGTCTAGAGTTTATATGAAGACAATCCCGTTTCCAACGAAATCCTCAAAGCTATCCAAATATCCTCTTGCAGATATTACAAAAAGAGTGTTTCAAAACTGCTCTATCAAAAGAAAGGTTCAACACTGTTAGTTGAGGGCGCACATCACAAATAAGTTTACTGAGAATGCTGCTGTCTGCTTTTTATATGTAATCCCGTTTCCAACGAAATCCTCAAAGCTAGACAAATATCCACTTGCAGATTCCACAAAATAGTGTTTCAAAACTGCTCTATCAAAAGAATGCTTCAACACTGTTAGTTGAAGGCGCACATCACAAATAAGTTTCTGAGAATGCTTCTGTCTAGTTTTCAGGGGAAGATATTTCCTTTTAAACCATAGGCCTGAAAGCGCTCCAAATGTCCACATCCAGATACTACAAAAAGAGTGTTTGAAACCTGCTCTATGAAAGGGACTGTTCAACACTGTAACTTCAATTGAAACATCCCAATGAAGCTTCTGAGAATGCTTCTGTCTAGAGTTTATATGAAGACAATCCCGTTTCCAACGAAATCCTCAAAGCTATCCAAATATCCTCTTGCAGATATTACAAAAAGAGTGTTTCAAAACTGCTCTATCAAAAGAAAGCTTCAACACTGTTAGTTGAGGGCGCACATCACAAATAAGTTTCTGAGAATGCTTCTGTCTAGTTTTCAGGGGAAGATATTTCCTTTTTCACCATAGGCCTGAAAGCGCTCCAAATCTCCACATCCAGATACTACAAAAAGACTGTTTCAAACCTGCTGCTATGAAAGGGAATGTTCAACTCTGTGACTTGAATGCAAACATCACAAAGAAGTTTCTGGGAATGCTGCTGTCTGCTTTTTATATGTAATCCCGTTTCCAACGAAATCCTCAAAGCTAGACAAATATCCACTTGCAGATTCCACAAAAAGAGTGTTTCAAAACTGCTCTCTCAAAAGAAAGGTTCAACTCTTTTAGCTGGGTAGATACATCATGAAAAAGTTTCTGATATTGCTTCTATGTAGCTTTTATTGGAAGATACTTCCTTTTTCACCGCAGTCCTGAGAGCACTCCAAATGTCCACTTCCAGATACTACAAAAAGAGTGTTTCAAACCTGCTCTATGAAAGGGACTGTTCAACACTGTGACTTCCACTGAATCATCCCAATGAAGCTTCTGAGAATGCTTCTTTCTAGAGTTTATATGAAGACAATCCCGTTTCCAACGAAATCCTCAAAGCTATCCAAATATTCTCTTGCAGATATTACAAAAAGAGTGTTTCAAAACTGCTCTATCAAAATAAAGCTTCAACACTGTTAGTTGAGGGCGCACATCACAAATAAGTTTCTGAGAATGCTGCTGTCTGCTTTTTATAATTAATCCCGTTTCCAACGAAATCCTCAAAGCTATCCAAATATCCTCTTGCAGATATTACAAAAAGAGTGTTTCAAAACTGCTCTATCAAAAGAAAGCTTCAACACTGTTAGTTGAGGGCGCACATCACAAATAAGTTTCTGAGAATGCTTCTCTCTAGTTTTCAGGGGAAGATATTTTCTTTTTCACCATAGGCCTGAAAGCGCTCCAAATGTCCACATCCAGATACTACAAAAAGAGTGTTTCAAACCTGCTCTATGAAAGGGACTGTTCAACACTGTGACTTCAATTGAAACATCCCAATGAAGCTTCTGAGAATGCTTCTGTCTAGAGTTTATATGAAGACAATCCCGTTTCCAAAGAAATCCTCAAAGCTATCCAAATATCCTCTTGCAGATATTACAAAAAGTGTGTTTCAAATCTGCTCTATCAAAAGAAAGGTTCAACACTGTTAGTTGAGGGCGCACATCACAAATAAGTTTCTGAGAATGCTTCTCTCTAGTTTTCAGGAGAAGATATTTCCTTTTTCACCATAGGCCTGAAAGCGCTCCAAATGTCCACATCCAGATACTATAAAAAGAGTGTTTCAAACCTGCTCTCTGAAAGGGAATGTTCAACTCTGTGACTTGAATGCAAACATCACAAATAAGATTCTGGGAATGCTGCTGTCTGCTTTTTATAATTAATCCCGTTTCCAACGAAATCCTCAAAGCTATCCAAATGTCCTCTTGCAGATATTACAAAAAGAGTGTTTCAAAACTGCTCTATCAAAAGAAAGCTTCAACACTGTTAGTTGAGGGCGCACATCACAAATAAGTTTCTGAGAATGCTTCTGTCTAGTTTTCAGAGGAAGATATTTCCTTTTTCACCATAGGCCTGAAAGCGCTCCAAATGTCCACATCCAGATACTACAAAAAGAGTGTTTCAAACCTGCTCTATGAAAGGGACTGTTCAACACTGTGACTTCAATTGAAACATCCCAATGAGGCTTCTGTGAATGCTACTGTCTAGAGTTTATATGAAGACAATCCTGTTTCCAACGAAATCCTCAAAGCTATCCAAATATCCTCTTGCAGATTTTACAAAAAGAGTGTTTCAAAACTACTCTATCAAAAGAAAGGTTTAACACTGTTAGTTGAGGGCGCACATCACAAATAAGTTTGCTGAGAATGCTTCTGTCTAGTTTTCAGGAGAAGATATTTCCTTTATCACCATAGGCCTGAAAGGGCTCCAAATGTCCACATCCAGATATTATAAAAAGAGTGTTTCAAACCTGCTCTCTGAAAGGGAATGTTCAACTCTGTGACTTGAATGCAAACATCACAAACAAGATTCTGGGAATGCTGCTGTCTGCTTTTTATATGTAATCCCGTTTCCAACGAAATCCTCAAAGCTAGACAAATATCCGCTTGCAGATTCCACAAAAAGAGTGTTTCAAAACAGCTCTATCAAAAGAAAGCTTCAACACTGTTAGTTGAGGGCGCACATCACAAATAAGTTTCTGAGAATGCTTCTGTCTAGTTTTCAGGGGAAGATATTTCCTTTTAAACCATAGGCCTCAAAGCGCTCCAAATGTCCACATCCAGATACTACAAAAAGAGTGTTTCAAACCTACTCTATGAAAGGGACTGTTCAACACTGTGACTTCAATTGAAACATCCCAATGAAGCTTCTGAGAATGCTTCTGTCTAGAGTTTATATGAAGACAATCCCGTTTCCAACGAAATCCTCAAAGCTATCCAAATATCCTCTTGCAGATTTTACAAAAAGAGTGTTTCAAAACTGCTCTATCAAAAGAAAGCTTCAACACTGTTAGATGAGGGCGCACATCACAAATAAGATTCTGAGAATGCTTCTGTCTAGTTTTCAGGGGAAGATATTTCCTTTTTCACCATAGGCCTGAAAGCGCTCCAAATGTCCACATCCAGATACTACAAAAAGAGTGTTTCAAACCTGCTCTATGAAAGGGAATGTTCAACTCTGTGACTTGAATGCAAACATCACAAAGAAGTTTCTGGGAATGCTGCTGTCTGCTTTTTATAGTAATCCCGTTTCCAACGAAATCCTCAAAGCTAGACAAATATCCACTTGCAGATTCCACAAAAAGAGTGTTTCAAAACGGCTCTCTCAAAAGAAAGGTTCAACACTGTTAGCTGAGTAGATACGTCATGAAAAAGTTTCTGACATTGCTTCTATCTAGCTTTTATTGGAAGATATTTCCTTTTTCACCGTAGTCCTCAGAACGCTCCAAATGTCCACTTCCAGATACTACAAAAAGAGTATTTCAAACCTGCTCTATGAAAGGGACTATTCAACACTGTGACTTCAATTGAAACATCCCAATGAAGCTTCTGAGAATGCTTCTGTCTAGATTTTATATGAAGACAATCCCGTTTCCAACGAAATCCTCAAAGCTATCCAAATATCCTCTTGCAGATTTTACAAAAAGAGTGTTTCAAAACTACTCTATCAAAAGAAAGGTTTAACACTGTTACTTGACGGCGCACATCACAAATAAGTTTCTGAGAATGCTTCTGTCTAGTTTTCAGGGGAAGATACTTCCTTTTTCACCATAGGCCTGAAAGCGCTCCAAATGTCCACATCCAGATACTACAAAAAGAGTGTTTCAAACCTGTTCTATGAAAGGGAATGTTCAACTCTGTGACTTGAATGCAAACATCACAAAGAAGTTTCTGGGAATGCTGCTGTCTGCTTTTTATATGTAATCCCGTTTCCAACATAATCCTGAAAGCTAGACAAATATCCACCTGCAGATTCCACAAAAAGAGTGTTTCAAAACTGCTCTCTCAGAAAAAATGTTCAACTCTGTTAGCTGAGTAGATACATCATGAAAAAGTTTCTGACATTGCTTCTATCTAGCTTTTATTGGAAGATATTTCCTTTTTCACCGTAGTCCTGAGAGCGCTCCAAATTTCCACTTCCAGATACTACAAAAAGAGTGTTTCAAACCTGCTCTATGAAAGGGAATGTTCAACTCTGTGACTTGAATGCAAACATCACAAAGAAGTTTCTGGGAATGCTTCTGTCTAGATTCTATATGAAGACAATCCCGTTTCCAACGAAATCCTCAAAGCTATCCAAATATCCTCTTGCAGATTTTACAAAAAGAGTGTTTCAAAACTGCTCTATCAAAAGAAAAGTTCCACACTGTTAGTTGAGGGCGCACATCACAAATAAGTTTGCTGAGAATGCTGCTGTCTGCTTTTTATATGTAATCCCGTTTCCAACGAAATCCTCAAAGCTAGACAAATATCCACTTGCAGATTCCACAAAAAGAGTGTTTCAAAACTGCTCTATCAAAAGAATGCTTCAACACTGTTAGTTGAGGGCGCACATCACAAATAAGTTTCTGAGAATGCTTCTGTCTAGTTTTCAGGGGAAGATATTTCCTTTTAAACCATAGGCCTGAAAGCGCTCCAAATGTCCACATCCAGATACTACAAAAAGAGTGTTTCAAACCTGCTCTATGAAAGGGACTGTTCAACACTGTGACTTCAATTGAAACATCCCAATGAAGCTTCTGAGAATGCTTCTGTCTAGAGTTTATATGAAGACAATCCCGTTTCCAACGAAATCCTCAAAGCTATCCAAATATCCTCTTGCAGATTTTACAAAAAGAGTGTTTCAAAACTGCTCTATCAAAAGAAAGCTTCAACACTGTTAGTTGAGGGCGCACATCACAAATAAGATTCTGAGAATGCTTCTGTCTAGTTTTCAGGGGAAGATATTTCCTTTTTCACCATAGGCCTGAAAGCGCGCCAAATGTCCACATCCAGATACTACAAAAAGTGTGTTTCAAACCTGCTCTATGAAAGGGAATGTTCAACTCTGTGACTTGAATGCAAACATCACAAAGAAGTTTGTGGGAATGCTGCTGTCTGCTTTTTATATGTAATCATGTTTCCAACGAAATCCTCAAAGCTAGACAAATATCCACTTGCAGATTCCTCAAAAAGAGTGTTTCAAAACTGCTCTCTCAAAAGAAAGGTTCAACTCTGTTAGCTGAGTAGATACATCATGAAAAATTTTCTGACATTTCTTCTATCTAACTTTATTTGGAAGATATTTCCTTTTTCACCGTAGTCCTGAGAATGCTCCAAATGTCCACTTCCAGATACTACAAAAAGAGTGTTTCAAACATGCTCTATGAAAGGGACTGTTCAACACTGTGACTTCAATTGAAACATCCCAATGAAGCTTCTGAGAATGCTTCTGTCTAGAGTTTATATGAAGACAATCCCGTTTCCAACGAAATCCTCAAAGCTATCCAAATATCCTCTTGCAGATATTACAAAAAGAGTGTTTCAAAACTGCTCTATCAAAAGAAAGGTTCAACACTGTTAGTTGAGGGCGCACATCACAAATAAGTTTACTGAGAATGCTGCTGTCTGCTTTTTATATGTAATCCCGTTTCCAACGAAATCCTCAAAGCTAGACAAATATCCACTTGTAGATTCCACAAAAAGAGTGTTTCAAAACTGCTCTATCAAAAGAAAGCTTCAACACTGTTAGTTGAGGGCGCACATCACAAATAAGTTTCTGAGAATGCTTCTGTCTAGTTTTCAGGGGAAGATATTTCCTTTTAAACCATAGGCTTGAAAGCGCTCCAAATGTCCACATCCAGATACTACAAAAAGAGTGTTTCAAACCTGCTCTATGAAAGGGACTGTTCAACACTGTGACTTCAATTGAAACATCCCAATGAAGCTTCTGAGAATGCTACTGTCTAGGGTTAATATGAAGACAATCCCGTTTCCAACGAAATCCTCAAAGCTATCCAAATATCCTCTTGCAGATTTTACAAAAAGAGTGTTTCAAAACTACTCTATCAAAAGAAAGGTTTAACACTGTTAGTTGAGGGCGCACATCACAAATAAGTTTCTGAGAATGCTTCTGTCTAGTTTTCTGGGGAAGATATTTCCTTTTTCACCATAGGCCTGAAAGCGCTCCAAATGTCCACATCCAGATACTACAAAAAGAGTGTTTCAAACCTGCTCTATGAAAGGGAATGTTCAACTCTGTGACTTGAATGCAAACATCACAAAGAAGTTACTGGGAATGCTGCTGTCTGCTTTTTATATGTAATCCCGTTTCCAACGAAATCCTCAAAGCTAGACAAATATCCACTTGCAGATTCCACAAAAAGAGTGTTTCAAAACTGCTCTCTCAAAAGAAAGGTTCAACTCTGTTAGCTGAGTAGATACATCATGAAAAAGTTTCTGACATTGCTTCTATCTAGCTTTTATTGGAAGATATTTCCTTTTTCGCCATAGTCCTGAGAGCGCTCCAAATGTCCACTTCCAGATACTACAAAAAGAGTGTTTCAAACCTGCTCTATGAAAGGGACTGTTCAAAACTGTGACTTCAATTGAAACATTCCAATGAATCTTCTGCGAATGCTGCTGTCTGCTTTGTATAATTAATCCCGTTTCCAACGAAATCCTCAAAGCTATCCAAATATCCTCTTGCAGATATTACAAAAAGAGTGTTTCAAAACTGCTCTATCAAAAGAAAGCTTCAACACTGTTAGTTGAGGGCGCACATCACAAATAAGTTTCTGAGAATGCTGCTGTCTGCTTTTTATAATTAATCCCGTTTCCAACGAAATCCTCAAAGCTATCCAAATATCCTCTTGCAGATATTACAAAAAGAGTGTTTCAAAACTGCTCTATCAAAAGAAAGCTTCAACACTGTTAGTTGAGGGCGCACATCACAAATAAGTTTCTGAGAATGCTTCTGTCTAGTTTTCAGGGGAAGATATTTCCTTTTAAACCATAGGCCTGAAAGCGCTCCAAATGTCCACATCCAGATACTACAAAAAGAGTGTTTCAAACCTGCTCTATGAAAGGGACTGTTCAACACTGTGACTTCAATTGAAACATCCCAATGACGCTTCTGAGAATGCTTCTGTCTAGAGTTTATATGAAGACAATCCCGTTTCCAACGAAATCCTCAAAGCTATCCAAATATCCTCTTGCAGATTTTACAAAAAGAGTGTTTCAAAACTGCTCTATCAAAAGAAAGCTTCAACACTGTTAGTTGAGGGCGCCCATCACAAATAGGTTTCTGAGAATGCTTCTGTCTAGTTTTCAGGGGAAGATATTTCCTCTTTCACCATAGGCCTGAAAGCGCTCCAAATGTCCACATCCAGATACTACAAAAAGAGTGTTTCAAACCTGCTCTATGAAAGGGAATGTTCAACTCTGTGACTTGAATGCAAACATCACAAAGAAGTTTCTGGGAATGCTGCTGTCTGCTTTTTTTATGTAATCCCATTTCCAACGAAATCCTCAAAGCTAGACAAATATCCACTTGCAGATTCCACAAAAAGAGTGTTTCAAAACTGCTCTCTCAAAGGAAGGTTCAAATCTGTTAGCTGAGTAGATACATCATGAAAAAGTTTCTGACATTGCTTCTATGTAGCTTTTATTGGAAGATATTTCCTTTTTCACCGTAGTCCTGAGAGCGCTCCAAATGTCCACTTCCAGATACTACAAAAAGAGTGTTTCAAACCTGCTCTATGAAAGGGACTGTTCAACACTGTGACTTCAATTGAAACATCCCAATGAAGCTTCTGAGAATGCTTCTGCCTAGAGTTTATATGAAGACAATCCCGTTTCCAACGAAATCCTCAAAGCTATCCAAATATCCTCTTGCAGATATTACAAAAAGAGTGTTTCAAAACTGCTCTATCAAAAGAAAGCTTCAACACTGTTAGTTGAGGGCGCACATCACAAATAAGTTTCTGAGAATGCTTCTGTCTAGTTTTCAGGGGAAGATATTTCCTTTTTCACCTTAGGCCTGAAAGCGCTGCAAATGTCCACATCCAGATACTACAAAAAGAGTGTTTCAAACCTGCTCTATGAAAGGGAATGTTAAACTCTGTGACTTGAATGCAAACAACACAAAGAAGTTTCTGGGAATGCTGCTGTCTGCTTTTTATATGTAACCCGTTTCCAACGAAATCCTCAAAGCTAGACAAATATCCACTTGCAGATTCCACAAAAAGAGTGTTTCAAAACTGCTCTCTCAAAGGAAGGTTCAACTCTGTTAGCTGAGTAGATACATCATGAAAAAGTTTCTGACATTGCTTCTATCTAGCTTTTATTGGAAGATATTTCCTTTTTCACCGCAGTCCTGAGAGCGCTCCAAATGTCCACTTCCAGATACTACAAAAAGAGTGTTTCAAACCTGCTCTATGAAAGGGAATGTTCAACTCTGTGACTTGAATGCAAACATCACAAAGAAGTTACTGGGAATGCTTCTTTCTAGAGTTTATATGAAGACAATCCCGTTTCCAACGAAATCCTCAAAGCTATCCAAATATTCTCTTGCAGATATTACAAAAAGAGTGTTTCAAAACTGCTCTATCAAAATAAAGCTTCAACACTGTTAGTTGAGGGCGCACATCACAAATAAGTTTCTGAGAATGCTGCTGTCTGCTTTTTATAATTAATCCCGTTTCCAACGAAATCCTCAAAGCTATCCAAATATCCTCTTGCAGATATTCAAAAAGAGTGTTTCAAAACCGCTCTATCAAAAGAAAGCTTCAACACTGTTAGTTGAGGGCGCACATCACAAATAAGTTTCTGAGAATGCTTCTGTCTAGTTTTCAGGGGAAGATATTTCCTTTTAAACCATAGGCCTGAAAGCGCTCCAAATGTCCACATCCAGATACTACAAAAAGAGTGTTTCAAACCTGCTCTATGAAAGGGACTGTTCAACACTGTGACTTCAATTGAAACATCCCAATGAAGCTTCTGAGAATGCTTCTGTCTAGAGTTTATATGAAGACAATCCCGTTTCCAAAGAAATCCTCAAAGCCATCCAAATATCCTCTTGCAGATTTTACAAAAAGAGTGTTTCAAAACTGCTCTATCAAAAGAAAGCTTCAACATTGTTAGTTGAGGGCGCACATCACAAATAAGATTGCTGAGAATGCTTGTCTGTCTAGTTTTCAGGGGAAGATATTTCCTTTTTCACCATAGGCCTGAAAGCGCTGAAAATGTCCACATCCAGATACTACAAAAAGAGTGTTTCAAACCTGCTCTATGAAAGGGAATGTTCAACTCTGTGACTTGAATGCAAACATCAAAAAGAAGTTTCTGGGAATGCTGCTGTCTGCTTTTTATATGTAATCCCGTTTCCAACGAAATCCTCAAAGCTAGACAAATATCCACTTTCAGATTACACAAAAAGAGTGTTTCAAAACTGCTCTCTCAAAAGAAAGGTTCAACTCTGTTAGCTGAGTAGATACATCATGAAAAAGTTTCTGACATTGCTTCTATCTAGCTTTTATTGGAAGATATTTCCTTTTTCACCGCAGTCCTGAGAGCGCTCCAAATGTCCACATCCAGATACTACAAAAAGAGTGTTTCAAACCTGCTCTATGAAAGGGACTGTTCAACACTGTGACTTCAATTGAAACATCCCAATGAAGCTTCTGAGAATGCTTCTTTCTAGAGTTTATATGAAGACAATCCCGTTTCCAACGAAATCCTCAAAGCTATCCAAATATTCTCTTGCAGATATTACAAAAAGAGTGTTTCAAAACTGCTCTATCAAAATAAAGCTTCAACACTGTTAGTTGAGGGCGCACATCACAAATAAGTTTCTGAGAATGCTGCTGTCTGCTTTTTATATGTAATCCCGTTTCCAACGAAATCCTCAAAGCTAGACAAATATCCACTTGCAGGTTCCACAAAAAGAGTGTTTCAAAACTGCTCTATCAAAAGAATGCTTCAACACTGTTAGTTGAAGGCGCACATCAGAAATAAGTTTCTGAGAATGCTTCTGTCTAGTTTTCAGGGGAAGATATTTCCTTTTTCACCATAGGCCTGAAAGCGCTCCAAATGTCCACATCCAGATACTACAAAAAGAGTGTTTCAAACCTGCTCTATGAAAGGGACTGTTCAACACTGTGACTTCAATTGAAACATCCCAATGAAGCTTCTGAGAATGCTACTGTCTAGGGTTAATATGAAGACAATCCCGTTTCCAACGAAATCCTCAAAGCTATCCAAATATCCTCTTGCAGATTTTACAAAAAGAATGTTTCAAAACTGCTCTATCAAAAGAAAGCTTCAACACTGTTAGTTGAGGGCGCACATCACAAATAAGTTTCTGAGACTACTTCTGTCTAGTTTTCAGGGGAAGATATTTCCTTTTTCACAATAGGCCTGAAAGCGCTCCAAATGTCCACATCCAGATACTACAAAAAGAGTGTTTCAAACCTGCTCTATGAAAGGGAATGTTCAACTCTGTGACTTGAATGCAAACATCACAAAGAAGTTACTGGGAATGCTGCTGTCTGCTTTTTATATGTAATCCCGTTTCCAACGAAATCCTCAAAGCTAGACAAATATCCACTTCCAGATTCCACAAAAAGAGTGTTTCAAAACTGCTCTCTCAAAAGAAAGGTTCAACTCTGTTAGCTGAGTAGATACATCATGAAAAAGTTTCTGACATTGCTTCTATCTAGCTTTTATTGGAAGATATTTCCTTTTTCACCGTAGTCCTGAGAGCGCTCCAAATGTCAACTTCCAGATACTACAAAAAGAGTGTTTCAAACCTGCTCTATGAAAGGGACTGCTCAACACTGTGACTTCAATTGAAACATCCCAATGAAGCTTCTGAGAATGCTTCTGTCTAGAGTTTATATGAAGACAATCCCGTTTCCAATGAAATCCTCAAAGCTATCGAAATATCCTCTTGCAGATTTTACAAAAAGAGTGTTTCAAAACTGCTCTATCAAAAGAAAGCTTCAACACTGTTAGTTGAGGGCGCACATCACAAATAAGATTCTGAGAATGCTTGTGTCTAGTTTTCAGGAGAAGATATTTCCTTTTTCACCACAGGCCTGAAAGCGCTCCAAATGTCCACATCCAGATACTACAAAAAGAGTGTTTCAAACCTGCTCTATGAAAGGCAATGTTGAACTATGTGACTTGAATGCAAACATCACAAAGAAGTTACTGGGAATGCTGCTGTCTGCTTTTTATATGTAATCCCGTTTCCAACGAAATCCTCAAAGCTAGACAAATATCCACTTGCAGATTCCACAAAAAGAGTGTTTCAAAACTGCTCTCTCAAAGGAAGGTTCAACTCTGTTAGCTGAGTAGACACATCATGAAAAAGATTCTGACATTGCTTCTATCTAGCTTTTATTGGAAGATATTTCCTTTTTCACCGCAGTCCGGAGAGCGCTCCAAATGTCCACTTCCAGATACTACAAAAAGAGTGTTTCAAACCTGCTCTATGAAAGGGACTGTTCAACACTGTGACTTCAATTGAAACATCCCAATGAAGCTTCTGAGAATGCTTCTGTCTAGAGTTTATATGAAGACAATCCCGTTTCCAACGAAATCCTCAAAGCTATCCAAATATCCTCTTGCAGATTTTACAAAAAGAGTGTTTCAAAACTGCTCTATCAAAAGAAAGGTTCAACACTCTTAGTTGAGGGCGCACATCACAAATAAGTTTCTGAGAATGCTGCTGTCTGCTTTTTATATGTAATCCCGTTTCCAACGAAATCCTCAAATCTAGCTACATATGCACTTGCAGATTCCACAAAAAGAGTGTTTCAAAACTGCTCCTTCAAAACGATTGTTGAATTCTGTTAGTTGAGTACACACATCACAAATAAGTTTCTGAGAATGCTTCTGTCTAGTTTTCAGGGGAAGATATTTCCTTTTAAACCATAGGCCTGAAAGCGCTCCAAATGTCCACATCCAGATACTACAAAAAGAGTGTTTCAAACCTGCTCTATGAAAGGGACTGTTCAACACTGTGACTTCAATTGAAACATCCCAATGATGCTTCTGAGAATGCTTCTGTCTAGAGTTTATATGAAGGACAATCCCGTTTCCAACGAAATCCTCAAAGCTATCCAAATATCCTCTTGCAGATTTTACAAAAAGAGTGTTTCAAAACTGCTCTATCAAAAGAAAGCTTCAACATTGTTAGTTGATGGCGCACATCACAAATAAGATTCTGAGAATTCTTCTGTCTAGTTTTCAGGGGAAGATATTTCCTTTTTCACCATAGGCCTGAAAGCGCTCCAAATGTCCACATCCAGATACTACAAAAAGAGTGTTTCAAACCTGCTCTATGAAAGGGAATGTTCAACTCTGTGACTTGAATGCAAACATCACAAAGAAGTTTCTGGGAATGCTGCTGTCTGCTTTTTATATGTAATCCCGTTTCCAACGAAATCCTCAAAGCTAGACAAATATCCACTTGCAGATTCCACAAAAAGAGTGTTTCAAAACTGCTCTCTCAAAAGAAAGGTTCAACTCTGTTAGCTGAGTAGATACATCATGAAAAAGTGTCTGACATTGCTTCTATCTAGCTTTTATTGGAAGATATTTCCTTTATCACCGTATTCCTGAGATCTCTCCAAATGTCCACTTCCAGATACTACAAAAAGAGTGTTTCAAACCTGCTCTATGAAAGGGACTGTTCAACACTGTGACTTCAATTGAAACATCCCAATGAAGCTTCTGAGAATGCTTCTGTCTAGAGTTTATATGAAGACAATCCCGTTTCCAACGAAATCCTCAAAGCTATCCAAATATCCTCTTGCAGATATTACAAAAAGAGTGTTTCAAAACTGCTCTATCAAAAGAAAGCTTCAACACTGTTAGTTGAGGGCGCACATCACAAATAAGATTCTGAGAATGCTGCTGTCTGCTTTTTATATGTAATCCCGTTTCCAACGAAATCCTCAAAGCTAGACAAATATCCACTTGCAGATTCCACAAAAGGAGTGTTTCAAAACTGCTCTTTCAAAACGATGATTCAATTCTGTTAGTTGAGGGCGCACATCACAAATAAGTTTCTGAGAATGCTTCTGTCTAGTTTTCAGGGGAACATATTTCCTTTTAAACCATAGGCCTGAAAGCGCTCCAAATGTCCACACCCAGATACTATAAAAAGAGTGTTTCAAACCTGCTCTATGAAAGGGACTGTTCAACACTGTAACTTCAATTGAAACATCCCAATGAAGCTTCTGAGAATGCTTCTGTCTAGAGTTTATATGAAGACAATCCCGTTTCCAACGAAATCCTCAAAGCTATCCAAATATCCTCTTGCAGATATTACAAAAAGAGTGTTTCAAAACTGCTCTATCAAAAGAAAGCTTCAACACTGTTAGTTGAGGGCGCACATCACAAATAAGTTTCTGAGAATGCTTCTGTCTAGTTTTCAGGGGAAGATATTTCCTTTTTCACAATAGGCCTGAAAGCGCTCCAAACGTCCACATCCAGATACTACAAAAAGAGTGTTTCAAACCTGCTCTATGAAAGGGAATGTTCAACTCTGTGACTTGAATGCAAACATCACAAAGAAGTTACTGGGAATGCTGCTGTCTGCTTTTTATATGTAATCCCGTTTCCAACGAAATCCTCAAAACTAGACAAATATCCACTTCCAGATTCCACAAAAAGAGTGTTTCAAAACTGCTCTCTCAAAAGAAAGGTTCAACTCTGTTAGCTGAGTAGATACATCATGAAAAAGTTTCTGACATTGCTTTTATGTAGCTTTTATTGGAAGATATTTCCTTTTTCACCATAGGCCTGAAAGCGCTCCAAATGTCCACATCCAGATACTACAAAAAAAGTGTTTCAAACCTGCTCTATGAAAGGGAATGTTCAACTCTGTGACTTGAATGCAAACATCACAAAGAAGTTACTGGGAATGCTGCTGTCTGCTTTTTATATGTAATCCCGTTTCCAACGAAGTCCTCAAATCTAGACAAATATCCACTTGCAGATTCCACAAAAAGAGTGTTTCAAAACTGCTCTCTCAAAAGAAAGGTTCAACTCTGTTAGCTGAGTAGATACATCATGAAAAAGTTTCTGACATTGCTTCTATCTAGCTTTTATTGGAAGATATTTCCTTTATCACCGTATTCCTGAGATCTCTCCAAATGTCCACTTCCAGATACTACAAAAAGAGTGTTTCAAACCTGCTCTATGAAAGGGACTGTTCAACACTGTGACTTCAATTGAAACATCCCAATGAAGCTTCTGAGAATGCTTCTGTATAGTTTTCAGGAGAAGATATTTCCTTTTTCACCATAGGCCTGAAAGCGCTCCAAATGTCCACATCCAGATACTACAAAAAGAGTGTTTCAAACCTGCTCTATGAAAGGGAATGTTCAACTCTGTGACGTGAATGCAAACATCACAAAGAAGTTACTGGGAATGCTGCTGTCTGCTTTTTATATGTAATCCCGTTTCCAACGAAATCCTCAAAGCTAGACAAATATCCACTTGCAGATTCCACAAAAAGAGTGTTTCAAAACTGCTCTATCAAAAGAAAGCTTCAACACTGTTAGTTGAGGGCGCACATCACAAATAAGTTTCTGAGAATGCTTCTGTCTAGTTTTCAGGGGAAGATATTTCCTTTTAAACCATAGGCCTGAAAGCGCTCCAAATGTCCACATCCAGATACTACAAAAAGAGTGTTTCAAACCTGCTCTATGAAAGGGACTGTTCAACACTGTGACTTCAATTGAAACATCCCAATGACGCTTCTGAGAATGCTTCTGTCTAGAGTTTATATGAAGACAATCCCGTTTCCAACGAAATCCTCAAAGCTATCCAAATATCCTCTTGCAGATTTTACAAAAAGAGTGTTTCAAAACTGCTCTATCAAAAGAAAGCTTCAACACTGTTAGTTGAGGGCGCACATCACAAATAAGATTCTGAGAATGCTTCTGTCTAGTTTTCAGGGGAAGATATTTCCTTTTTCACCATAGGCCTGAAAGCGCTGCAAATGTCCACATACAGATACTACAAAAAGAGTGTTTCAAACCTGCTCTATGAAAGTGAATGTTCAACCCTGTGACTTGAATGCAGACTTCACAAAGAAGTTTCTGGGAATGCTGCTGTCTGCTTTTTATATGTAATCCCGTTTCCAACGAAATCCTCAAAGCTAGACAAATATCCACTTGCAGATTCCACAAAAAGAGTGTTTCAAAACTGCTCTCTCAAAAGAAAGGTTCAACTCTGTTACCTGAGTAGATACATCATGAAAAAGATTCTGACATTGCTTCTATCTAGCTTTTATTGGAAGATATTTCCTTTTTCACCGTAGTCCTGAGAACGCTCCAAATGTCCACTTCCAGATGCTGCAAAAAGAGTGTTTCAAACCTGCTCTATGAAAGGGACTGTTCAACACTGTGACTTCAATTGAAACATCCCAATGAAGCTTCTGAGAATGCTTCTTTCTAGAGTTTATATGAAGACAATCCCGTTTCCAACGAAATCCTCAAAGCTATCCAAATATTCTCTTGCAGATATTACAAAAAGAGTGTTTCAAAACTGCTCTATCAAAATAAAGCTTCAACACTGTTAGTTGAGGGCGCACATCACAAATAAGTTTCTGAGAATGCTGCTGTCTGCTTTTTATATGTAATCCCGTTTCCAACGAAATCCTCAAAGCTAGACAAATATCCACTTGCAGATTCCACAAAAAGAGTGTTTCAAAACTGCTCTATCAAAAGAATGCTTCAACACTGTTAGTTGAGGGGGCACATCACAAATAAGTTTCTGAGAATGCTTCTGTCTAGTTTTCAGGGGAAGATATTTCCTTTTAAACCATAGGCCTGAAAGCGCTCCAAATGTCCACATCCAGATACTACAAAAAGAGTGTTTCAAACCTGCTCTATGAAAGGGACTGTTCAACACTGTGACTTCAATTGAAACATCCCAATGAAGCTTCTGAGAATGCTTCTGTCTAGAGTTTATATGAAGACAATCCCGTTTCCAAAGAAATCCTCAAAGCTATCCAAATATCCTCTTGCAGATTTTACAAAAAGAGTGTTTCAAAACTGCTCTATCAAAAGAAAGCTTCAACACTGTTAGTTGAGGGCGCACATAACAAATAACTTTCTGAGAATGCTTCTGTCTAGTTTTCAGGGGAAGATATTTCCTTTTTCACCATAGGCCTGAAAGCGCTCCAAATGTCCACATCCAGATACTACAAAAAGAGTGTTTCAAACCTGCTCTATGAAAGGGAATGTTCAACTCTGTGACTTGAATGCAAACATCACAAAGAAGTTTCTGGGAATGCTGCTGTCTGCTTTTTATATGTAATCCCGTTTCCAACGATATCCTCAAAGCTAGACAAATATCCACTTGCAGATTCCACCAAAAGAGTGTTTCAAAACTGCTCTCTCAAAAGAAAGGTTCAACTCTGTTAGCTGAGTAGATACATCATGAAAAAGTTTCTGACATTGCTTCTATGTAGCTTTTATTGGAAGATATTTCCTTTTTCACCATAGTCCTGAGAGCGCTCCAAATGTCCACTTCCAGATACTACAAAAAGAGTGTTTCAAACCTGTTCTATGAAAGGAACTGTTCGACACTGTGACTTCAATTGAAACATCCCGATGAAGCTTCTGAGAATGCTTCTGTCTAGAGTTTATATGAAGACAATCCCGTTTCCAACGAAATCCTCAAAGCTATCCAAATATCCTCTTGCAGATATTACAAAAAGAGTGTTTCAAAACTGCTCTATCAAAAGAAAGCTTCAACACTGTTAGTTGAGGGCGCACATCACAAATAAGTTTCTGAGAATGCTTCTGTCTAGTTTTCAGGGGAAGATATTTCCTTTTTCACCATAGGCCTGAAAGCGCTCCAAATGTCCACATCCAGATACTACAAAAAGAGTGTTTCAAACCTGCTCTCTGAAAGGGAATGTTCAACTCTGTGACTTGAATGCAAACATCACAAAGAAGTTTCTGGGAATGCTGCTGTCTGCTTTTTATATGTAATCCCGTTTCCAACGAAATCCTCAAAGCTAGACAAATATCCACTTGCAGATTCCACAAAATAGTGTTTCAAAACTGCTCTATCAAAAGAATGCTTCAACACTGTTAGTTGAAGGCGCACATCACAAATAAGTTTCTGAGAATGCTTCTGTCTAGTTTTCAGGGGAAGATATGTCCTTTTAAACCATAGGCCTGAAAGCGCTCCAAATGTCCACATCCAGATACTACAAAAAGAGTGTTTCAAACCTGCTCTATGAAAGGGACTGTTCAACACTGTGACTTCAATTGAAACATCCCAATGACGCTTCTGAGAATGCTTCTGTCTAGAGTTTATATGAAGACAATCCCGTTTCCAACGAAATCCTCAAAGCTATCCAAATATCCTCTTGCAGATTTTACGAAAAGAGTGTTTCAAAACTGCTCTATCAAAAGAAAGCTTCAACACTGTTAGTTGAGGGCGCACATCAAAAATAAGATTCTGAGAATGCTTCTGTCTAGTTTTCAGGAGAAGATATTTCCTTTTTCACCATAGGCCTGAAAGCGCTCCAAATGTCCACATCCAGATACTATAAAAAGAGTGTTTCAAACCTGCTCTCTGAAAGGGAATGTTCAACTCTGTGACTTGAATGCAAACATCACAAACAAGATTCTGGGAATGCTGCTGTCTGCTTTTTATATAATCCCGTTTCCAACGAAATCCTCAAAGCTAGACAAATATCCACTTGCAGATTCCACAAAAAGAGTGTTTCAAAACTGCTCTATCAAAAGAAAGCTTCAACACTGTTAGTTGAGGGCGCACATCACAAATAAGTTTCTGAGAATGCTTCTGTCTAGTTTTCAGGGGAAGATATTTCCTTTTTCACCATAGGCCTGAAAGCGCTCCAAATGTCCACATCCAGATACTACAAAAAGAGTGTTTCAAACCTGCTCTATGAAAGGGACTGTTCAACACTGTGACTTCAATTGAAACATCCCAATGAAGCATCTGAGAATGCTTCTGTCTAGAGTTTATATGAAGACAATCCTGTTTCCAACGAAATCCTCAAAGCTATCCAAATATCCTCTTGCAGATATTACAAAAAGAGTGTTTCAAAACGGCTCTATCAAAAGAAAGGTTCAACACTGTTAGTTGAGGGCGCACATCACAAATAAGTTTCTGAGAATGCTTCTGTCTAGTTTTCAGGGGAAGATATTTCCCTTTTCATCATAGGCCTGAAAGCGCTCCAAATGTCCACATCCAGATACTACAAAAAGAGTGTTTCAAACCTGCTCTATGAAAGGGAATGTTCAACTCTGTGACTTGAATGCAAACATCACACAGAAGTTTCTGGGAATGCTGCTGTCTGCTTTTTATATGTAATCCCGTTTCCAACGAAATCCTCAAAGCTAGACAAATATCCACTTGCAGATTCCACAAAAAGAGTTTTTCAAAACTGCTCTCTCAAAAGAAAGGTTCAACTCTTTTAGCTGAGTAGACACATCATGAAAAAGTTTCTCACATTGCTTCTATCTAGCTTTTATTGGAAGATATTTCCTTTTTCACCGCAGTCCTGAGAGCGCTCCAAATGTCCACTTCCAGATACTACAAAAAGAGTGTTTCAAACCTGCTCTATGAAAGGGACTGTTCAACACTGTGACTTCAACTGAAACATCCCAATGAAGCTTCTGAGAATGCTTCTTTCTAGAGTTTATATGAAGACAATCCCGTTTCCAACGAAATCCTCAAAGCTATCCAAATATTCTCTTGCAGATATTACAAAAAGAGTGTTTCAAAACTGCTCTATCAAAATAAAGCTTCAACACTGTTAGTTGAGGGCGCACATCACAAATAAGTTTCTGAGAATGCTGCTGTCTGCTTTTTATATGTAATCCCGTTTCCAACGAAATCCTCAAAGCTAGACAAATATCCACTTGCAGATTCCACAAAAAGAGTGTTTCAAAACTGCTCTATCAAAAGAATGCTTCAACACTGTTAGTTGAGGGCGCACATCACAAATAAGTTTCTGAGAATGCTTCTGTCTAGTTTTCAGGGGAAGATATTTCCTTTTTCACCATAGGCCTGAAAGCGCTCCAAATGTCCACATCCAGATACTACAAAAAGAGTGTTTCAAACCTGCTCTATGAAAGGGACTGTTCAACACTGTGACTTCAATTGAAACATCCCAATGAAGCTTCTGAGAATGCTTCTGTCTAGAGTTTATATGAAGACAATCCCGTTTCCAACGAAATCCTCAAAGCTATCCAAATATCCTCTTGCAGATTTTACAAAAAGAGTGTTTCAAAACTGCTCTATCAAAAGAAAGCTTCAACACTGTTAGTTGAGGGCGCACATCACAAATAAGATTCTGAGAATGCTTCTGTCTAGTTTTCAGGGGAAGATATTTCCTTTTTTACCATAGGCCTGAAAGCGCTCCAAATGTCCACATCCAGATACTACAAAAAGAGTGTTTCAAACCTGCTCTATGAAAGGGAAAGTTCAACTCTGTGACTTGAATGCAAACATCACAAAGAAGTTTCTGGGAATGCTGCTGTCTGCTTTTTATATGTAATCCCGTTTCCAACGAAATCCTCAAAGCTTGACAAATATCCACTTACAGATTCCACAAAAAGAGTGTTTCAAAACTGCTCTCTCAAAGGAAAGGTTCAACTCTGTTAGCTGAGTAGATACATCATGAAAAAGTTTCTGACATTTCTTCTATCTAGCTTTTATTGGAAGATATTTCCTTTTTCACCGTAGTCCTGAGAGCGCTCCAAATGTCCACTTCCAGATACTACAAAAAGAGTGTTTCAAACCTGCTCTATGAAAGGGACTGTTCAACACTGTGACTTCAATTGAAACATCCCAATGAAGCTTCTGAGAATGCTTATGTCTAGAGTTTATATGAAGACAATCCCGTTTCCAACGAAATCCTGAAAGCTATCCAAATATCCTCTTGCAGATATTACAAAAAGAGTGTTTCAAAACTGCTCTATCAAAAGAAAGCTTCAACACTGTTAGTTGAGGGCGCCCATCACAAATAAGTTTCGGAGAATGCTTAGCTGTCTGCTTTTTATATGTAATCCCGTTTCCAACGAAATCCTCAAAGCTAGACAAATATCCACTTGCAGATTCCACAAAAGGAGTGTTTCAAAACTGCTCTTTCAAAACGATGATTCAATTCTGTTAGTTGAGGGCGCACATCACAAATAAGTTTCTGAGAATGCTTCTGTCTAGTTTTCAGGGGAAGATATTTCCTTTTAAACTATAGGCCTGCAAAAGCTCCAAATGTCCACATCCAGATACTACAAAAAGAGTGTTTCAAACCTGCTCTATGAAAGGGACTGTTCAACACTGTGACTTCAATTGAAACATCCCAATGAAGCTTCTGAGAATTCTTCTGTCTAGATTCTATATGAAGACAATCCCGTTTCCAACGAAATCCTCAAAGCTATCCAAATATCCTCTTGCAGATTTTACAAAAAGAGTGTTTCAAAACTGCTCTTTCAAAAGAAAGGTTCAACACTGTTAGTTGAGGGCGCACATCACAAATAAGTTTCTGAGAATGCTTCTGTCTAGTTTTCAGGGGAAGATATTTCCTTTTTCACCATAGGCCTGAAAGCGCTCCAAATGTCCACATCCAGATACTACAAAAACAGTGTTTCAAACCTGCTCTATGAAAGGGAATGTTCAAGTCTTTGACTTGAATGCAAATTTCACAAAGAACATTCTGGGAATGCTGCTGTCTGCTTTTTATATGTAATCCCGTTTCCAACGCAATCCTCAAATCTAGAAAAATATCCACTTGCAGATTCCACAAAAAGAGTGTTTCAAAACTGCTCTCTCAAAAGAAAGGTTCAACTCTTTTAGCTCAGTAGATACATCATGAAAAAGTTTCTGATATTGCTTCTATCTAGCTTTTATTGGAAGATATTTCCTTTTGCACCGTAGTGCTGAGAACGCTCCAAATGTCCACTTCCAGATGCTACAAAAAGAGTGTTTCAAACCTGCTCTATGAAAGGAACTGTTCAACACTGTGACTTCAATTGAAACATCCCAATGAAGCTTCTGAGAATGCTGCTGTCTGCTTTGTATAATTAATCCCGTTTCCAACGAAATCCTCAAAGCTATCCAAATATCCTCTTGCAGATATTACAAAAAGAGTGTTTCAAAACTGCTCTATCAAAAGAAAGCTTCAACACTGTTAGTTGAGGGCGCACATCACAAATAAGTTTCTGAGAATGCTGCTGTCTGCTTTTTATATGTAATCCCGTTTCCAACGAAATCCTCAAAGCTAGACAAATATCCACTTGCAGATTCCACAAAAAGAGTGTTTCAAAACTGCTCTATCAAAAGAAAGCTTCAACACTGTTAGTTGAGGGGGCACATCACAAATAAGTTTCTGAGAATGCTTCTGTCTAGTTTTCAGGGGAAGATATTTCCTTTTAAACCATAGGCCTGAAAGCGCTCCAAATGTCCACATCCAGATACTACAAAAAGTGTGTCTCAAACCTGCTCTATGAAAGGGACTGTTCAACACTGTGACTTCAATTGAAACATCCCAATGATGCTTCTGAGAATGCTACTGTCTAGGGTTAATATGAAGACAATCCCGTTTCCAACGAAATCCTCCAAGCTATCCAAATATCCTCTTGCAGATTTTACAAAAAGAGTGTTTCAAAACTGCTCTATCAAAAGAAAGCTTCAACACTGTTAGTTGAGGGCGCACATCACAAATAAGTTTCTGAGAATGCTTCTGTCTAGTTTTCAGGGGAAGATATTTCCTTTTTCACCATAGGCCTGAAAGCGCTCCAAATGTCCACATCCAGATACTACAAAAAGAGTGTTTCAAACCTGCTCTATGAAAGGAAATGTTCAAGTCTGTGACTTGAATGCAAATTTCACAAAGAACTTTCTGGTAATGCTGCTGTCTGCTTTTTATATGTAATCCCGTTTCCAACGAAATCCTGAAAGCTAGACAAATATCCACCTATAGATTCCTCAAAAAGCGTGTTTCAAAACTGCTCTCTCAAAAAAAATGTTCAACTCTGTTAGCTGAGTAGATACATAATGAAAAAGTTTCTGACATTGCTTCTATCTAGCTTTTATTTGAAGATATTTCCTTTTTCACCGTAGTCCTGAGAGCGCTCCAAATGTCCACTTGCAGATGCTACAAAAAGAGTGTTTCAAACCTGCTCTATGAAAGGGACTGTTCAACACTGTGACTTCAATTGAAACATCCCAATGAAGCTTCTCAGAATGCTACTGTCTAGAGTTTATATGAAGACAATCCCGTTTCCAACGAAATCCTCAAAGCTATCCAAATATCCTCTTGCAGATTTTACAAAAAGAGTGTTTCAAAACTGCTCTATCAAAAGAAAGCCTCAACACTGTTAGTTGAGGGCGCACATCACAAATAAGATTCTGAGAATGCTGCTGTCTGCTTTTTATATGTAATCCCGTTTCCAACGAAATCCTTAAAGCTAGACAAATATCCACTTGCAGATTCCACAAAAAGAGTGTTTCAAAACTGCTCTATCAAAAGAAAGCTTCAACACTGTTAGTTGAGGGCGCACATCACAAATAAGTTTACTGAGAATGCTTTTCTGTCTAGTTTTCAGGGGAAGATATTTCCTTTTTTACCATAGGCCTGAAAGCGCTCCAAATGTCCACATCCAGATACTACAAAAAGAGTGTTTCAAACCTGCTCTATGAAAGGGACTGTTCAACACTGTGACTTCAATTGAAACATCCCAATGAAGCATCTGAGAATGCTTCTGTCTAGAGTTTATATGAAGACAATCCCGTTTCCAAAGAAATCCTCAAAGCTATCCAAATATACTCTAGCAGATTTTACAAAAAGAGTGTTTCAAAACTGCTCTATCAAAAGAAAGCTTCAACACTGTTAGTTGAGGGCGCACATCACAAATAAAATTCTGAGAATGCTTCTATGTAGCTTTTATTGGAAGATATTTCCTTTTTCACCATAGGCCTGAAAGCGCTCCAAATGTCCACATCCAGATACTATAAAAAGAGTGTTTCTAACCTGCTCTCTGAAAGGGAATGTTCAACTCTGTGACTTGAATGCAAACATCACAAAGAAGTTACTGGGAATGCTGCTGTCTGCTTTTTATATGTAATCCCGTTTCCAACGAAATCCTCAAAGCTAGACAAATATCCACTTGCAGATTCCACAAAAAGAGTGTTTCAAAACTGCTCTCTCAAAGGAAAGGTTCAACTCTGTTAGCTGAGTAGATACATCATGAAAAAGTTTCTGACATTGCTTCTATCTAGCTTTTATTGGAAGATACTTCCTTTTTCACCGTAGTCCTGAGAGCGCTCCAAATGTCCACTTCCAGATACTACAAAAAGAGTGTTTCAAACCTGCTCTATGAAAGGGACTGTTCAACACTGTGACTTCAATTGAAACATCCCAATGAAGCTTCTGAGAATGCTTCTCTCTAGAGTTTATATGAAGACAATCCCGTTTCCAACGAAATCCTCAAAGCTATCCAAATATCCTCTTGCAGATTTTACAAAAAGAGTGTTTCAAAACTGCTCTATCAAAAGAAAGCTTCAACACCGTTAGTTGAGGGCGCACATCACAAATAAGATTCTGAGAATGCTTCTGTCTAGTTTTCAGGGGAAGATATTTCCTTTTTCACCATAGGCCTGAAAGCGCTCCAAATGTCCACATACAGATACTACAAAAAGAGTGTTTCAAACCTGCTCTATGAAAGGGAATGTTCAACTCTGTGACTTGAATGCAAACTTCACAAAGAAGTTTCTGGGAATGCTGCTGTCTGCTTTTTATATGTAATCCCGTTTCCAACGAAATCCTCAAAGCTAGTACAAATATCCACTTGCAGATTCCACAAAAAGAGTGTTTCAAAACTGCTCTATCAAAAGAATGCTTCAACACTGTTAGTTGAGGGCGCACATCACAAATAAGTTTCTGAGAATGCTTCTGTCTAGTTTTCAGGGGAAGATATTTCCTTTTAAACCATAGGCCTGAAAGCGCTCCAAATGTCCACATCCAGATACTACAAAAAGAGTGTTTGAAACCTGCTCTATGAAAGGGACTGTTCAACACTGTGACTTCAATTGAAACATCCCAATGACGCTTCTGAGAATGCTTCTGTCTAGAGTTTATATGAAGACAATCCCGTTTCCAACGAAATCCTCAAAGCTATCCAAATATCCTCTTGCAGATTTTACAAAAAGAGTGTTTCAAAACTGCTCTATCAAAAGAAAGCTTCAACACTGTTAGTTGAGGGCGCACATCACAAATAAGATTCTGAGAATGCTTCTGTCTAGTTTTCAGGAGAATATATTTCCTTTTTCACCATAGGCCTGAAAGCGCTCCAAATGTCCACATCCAGATACTATAAAAAGAGTGTTTCAAACCTGCTCTATGAAAGGGATTGTTCAACTCTGTGACTTGAATGCAAACATCACAAAGAAGATTCTGGGAATGCTGCTGTCTGCTTTTTATATGTAATCCCGTTTCCAACGAAATCCTCAAAGCTAGACAAATATCCACCTGCAGATTCCACAAAAAGAGTGTTTCAAAACTGCTCTCTCAAAAGAAAGGTTCAATTCTGTTAGCTGAGTAGATACCTCATGAAAAATTTTCTGACATTGCTTCTATCTAGCTTTTATTGGAAGATATTTCCTTTATCACCGTATTCCTGAGATCTCTCCAAATGTCCACTTCCAGATACTACAAAAAGAGTGTTTCAAACCTGCTCTATGAAAGGGACTGTTCAACACTGTGACTTCAATTGAAACATCCCAATGAAGCTTCTGAGAATGCTTCTGTCTAGAGTTTATATGAAGACAATCCCGTTTCCAACGAAATCCTCAAAGCTATCAAAATATCCTCTTGCAGATTTTACGAAAAGAGTGTTTCAAAACTGCTCTATCAAAAGAAAGCTTCAACACTGTTAGTTGAGGGCGCACATCACAAATAAGATTCTGAGAATGCTTCTGTCTAGTTTTCAGGAGAAGATATTTCCTTTTTCACCATAGGGCTGAAAGCGCTCCAAATGTCCACATCCAGATACTACAAAAAGAGTGTTTCAAACCTGCTCTATGAAAGGGAATGTTCAACTGTGTGACTTGAATGCAAACATCACAAAGAAGTTTCTGGGAATGCTGCTGTCTGCTTTTTATATGTAATCCCGTTTCCAACGAAATCCTCAAAGCTAGACAAATATCCACTTGCAGATTCCACAAAAAGAGTGTTTCAAAACTGCTCTCTCAAAAGAAAGGTTCAACTCTGTTAGCTGAGTAGATACTTCACGAAAAAGTTTCTGACATTGCTTCTATCTAGCTTTTATTGGAAGATATTTCCTTTTTCACCGCAGTCCTGAGAGCGCTCCAAATGTCCACTTCCAGATACTACAAAAAGAGTGTTTCAAACGTGCTCTATGAAAGGGACTGTTCAACACTGTGACTTCAATTGAAACATCCCAATGAAGCTTCTGAGAATCCTTCTGTCTAGAGTTTATATGAAGACAATCCCGTTTCCAACGAAATCCTCAAAGCTATCCAAATATCCTCTTGCAGATATTACAAAAAGAGTGTTTCAAAACTGCTCTATCAAAAGAAAGGTTCAACACTGTTAGTTGAGGGCGCACATCACAAATAAGTTTACTGAGAATGCTGCTGTCTGCTTTTTATATGTAATCCCGGTTCCAACGAAATCCTCAAAGCTAGACAAATATCCACTTGCAGATTCCACAAAAAGAGTGTTTCAATACTGCTCTATCAAAAGAATGCTTCAACACTGTTAGTTGAGGGCGCACATCACAAATAAGTTTCTGAGAATGCTTCTGTCTAGTTTTCAGGGGAAGATATTTCCTTTTTCACCATAGGCCTGAAAGCGCTCCAAATGTCCACATCCAGATACTACAAAAAGAGTGTTTCAAACCTGCTCTATGAAAGGGACTGTTCAACACTGTGACTTCAATTGAAACATCCCAATGAAGCTTCTGAGAATGCTTCTGTCTAGATTTTATATGAAGACAATCCCGTTTCCAACGAAATCCTCAAAGCTATCCAAATATCCTCTTGCAGATTTTACAAAAAGAGTGTTTCAAAACTACTCTATCAAAAGAAAGGTTTAACACTGTTAGTTGAGGGCGCACATCACAAATAAGTTTCTGAGAATGCTTATCTGTCTAGTTTGCAGGGGAAGATATTTCCTTTTTCACCATAGGCCTGAAAGCGCTCCAAATGTCCACATCCAGATACTACAAAAAGAGTGTTTCAAACCTGCTCTATGAAAGGGAATGTTCAAGTCTGTGACTTGAATGCAAATATCACAAAGAAGTTTCTGGGAATGCTGCTGTCTGCTTTTTATATGTAATCCCGTTTCCAACGAAATCCTCAAAGCTAGACAAATATCCACTTGCAGATTCCACAAAAAGAGTGTTTCAAAACTGCTCTCTCAAAGGAAAGGTTCAACTCTGTTAGCTGAGTAGATACATCATGAAAAAGTTTCTGACATTGCTTCTCTCTACCTTTTATTGGAAGATATTTCCTTTTTCACCGTAGTCCTGAGAGCGCTCCAAATGTCCACTTCCAGATACTACAAAAAGAGTGTTTCAAACCTGCTCTATGAAAGGGACTGTTCAACACTGTGACTTCAATTGAAACATCCCAATGAAGCTTCTGAGAATGCTTCTGTCTAGATTTTATATGAAGACAATCCCGTTTCCAACGAAATCCTCAAAGCTATCCAAATATCCTCTTGCAGATTTTACAAAAAGAGTGTTTCAAAACTACTCTATCAAAAGAAAGGTTTAACACTGTTAGTTGAGGGCGCACATCACAAATAAGTTATCTGAGAATGCTGCTGTCTGCTTTTTATATGTAATCCCGTTTCCAACGAAATCCTCAAAGCTAGACAAATATCCACTTGCAGATTCCACAAAAAGAGTGTTTCTAAACTGCTCTATCAAAAGAAAGCTTCAACACTGTTAGTTGAGGGGGCACATCACAAATAAGTTTCTGAGAATGCTTCTGTCTAGTTTTCAGGGGAAGATATTTCCTTTTTTACCATAGGCCTGAAAGCGCTCCAAATGTCCACATCCAGATACTACAAAAAGAGTGTTTCAAACCTGCTCTATGAATGGGACTGTTCAACACTGTGACTTCAATTGAAACATCCCAATGAAGCATCTGAGAATGCTTCTGTCTAGAGTTTATATGAAGACAATCCCGTTTCCAAAGAAATCCTCAAAGCTATCCAAATATCCTCTAGCAGATTTTACAAAAAGAGTGTTTCAAAACTGCTCTATCAAAAGAAAGCTTCAACACTGTTAGTTGAGGGCGCACATCACAAATAAAATTCTGAGAATGCTTCTGTCTAGTTTTCAGGGGAAGATATTTCCTTTTTCACCATAGGCCTGAAAGCGCTCCAAATGTCCACATCCAGATACTACAAAAAGAGTGTTTCAAACCTGCTCTATGAAAGGGAATGTTCAACTCTGTGACTTGAATGCAAACATCACAAAGAAGTTTCTGGGAATGCTGCTGTCTGCTTTTTATATGTAATCCCGTTTCCAACGAAATCCTCGAAGCTAGACAAATATCCACTTGCAGATTCCACAAAAAGAGTGTTTCAAAACTGCTGTCTCAAAAGAAAAGTTCAACTCTTTTAGCTCAGTAGATACATCATGAAAAAGTTCCTGACATTGCTTCTATGTAGCTTTTATTGGAAGATATTTCCTTTTTCACCGTAGTCCTGAGAGCGCTCCAAATGTCCACTTCCAGATACTACAAAAAGAGTGTTTCAAACCTGTTCTATGAAAGGAACTGTTCAACACTGTGACTTCAATTGAAACATCCCAATGAAGCTTCTGAGAATGCTTCTGTCTAGAGTTTATATGAAGACAATCCCGTTTCCAACGAAATCCTCAAAGCTATCCAAATATCCTCTTGCAGATATTACAAAAAGAGTGTTTCAAAACTGCTCTATCAAAAGAAAGGTTCAACACTGTTAGTTGAGGGCGCACATCACAAATAAGTTTCTGAGAATGCTTCTGTCTAGTTTTCAGGGGAAGATATTTCCTTTTTCACCATAGGCCTGAAAGCGCTCCAAATGTCCACATCCAGATACTTCAAAATAGTGTTTCAAACCTGCTCTATGAAAGGGAATGTTCAACTCTGTGACTTGAATGCAAACATCACAAAGAAGTTACTGGGAATGCTGCTGTCTGCTTTTTATATGTAATCCCGTTTCCAACGAAATCCTCAAAGCTAGACAAATATCCACTTGCAGATTCCACAAAAAGAGTGTTTCAAAACTGCTCTCTCAAAGGAAAGGTTCACCTCTGTTAGCTGAGTAGATACATCATGAAAAAGTTTCTGACATTGCTTCTATGTAGCTTTTATTGGAAGATATTTCCTTTTTCACCATAGTCCTGAGAGCCCTCCAAATGTCCACTTCCAGATACTACAAAAAGAGTGTTTCAAACCTGTTCTATGAAAGGAACTGTTCAACACTGTGACTTCAATTGAAACATGCCAATGAAGCTTCTGAGAATGCTTCTGTCTAGACTTTATATGAAGACAATCCCGTTTCCAACGAAATCCTCAAAGCTATCCAAATATCCTCTTGCAGATATTACAAAAAGAGTGTTTCAAAACTGCTCTACCAAAAGAAAGCTTCAACACTGTTAGTTGAGGGCGCACATCACAAATAAGTTTCTGAGAATGCTGCTGTCTGCTTTTTATATGTAATCCCGTTTCCAACGAAATCCTCAAAGCTATCCAAATATCCTCTTGCAGATTTTACAAAAAGAGTGTTTCAAAACTGCTCTATCAAAAGAAAGGTTCAACACTGTTAGTTGAGGGCGCACATCACAAATAAGTTTCTGAGAATGCTTCTGTCTAGTTTTCAGGGGAAGATATTTCCTTTTAAACCATAGGCCTGAAAGCGCTCCAAATGTCCACATCCAGATACTACAAAAAGAGTGTTTCAAACCTGCTCTATGAAAGGGACTGTTCAACACTGTGACTTCAATTGAAACATCCCAATGACGCTTCTGAGAATGCTTCTGTCTAGAGTTTATATGAAGACAATCCCGTTTCCAACGAAATCCTCAAAGCTATCCAAATATCCTCTTGCAGATTTTACAAAAAGAGTGTTTCAAAACTGCTCTATCAAAAGAAAGGTTCAACACTGTTAGTTGAGGGCGCACATCACAAATAAGTTTCTGAGAATGCTTCAGTCTAGTTTTCAGGGGAAGATATTTCCTTTTTCACCATAGGCCTGAAAGCGCTCCAAATGTCCACATCCAGATACTACAAAAAGAGTGTTTCAAACCTGCTCTATGAAAGGGAATGTTCAACTCTGTGACTTGAATGCAAACATCGCAAAGAAGTTTGTGGGAATGCTGCTGTCTGCTTTTTATATGTAATCCCGTTTCCAACGAAATCCTCAAAGCTAGACAAATATCCACTTGCAGATTCCACAAAAAGAGTGTTTCAAAACTGCTCTCTCAAAAGAAAGGTTCAACTCTGTTAGCTGAGTAGATACATCATGAAAAAGTTTCTGACATTGCTTCTATCTAGCTTTTATTGGAAGATATTTCCTTTTTCACCGTATTCCTGAGAACTCTCCAAATGTCCACTTCTAGATACTACAAAAAGAGTGTTTCAAACCTGCTCTATGAAAGGGACTGTTCAACACTGTGACTTCAATTTAAACATCCCAATGAAGCTTCTGAGAATGCTTCTGTCTAGAGTTTATATGAAGACAATCCCGTTTCCAACGAAATCCTCAAAGCTATCCAAATATCCTCTTGCAGATATTACAAAAAGAGTGTTTCAAAACTGCTCTATCAAAAGAAAGCTTCAACACTGTTAGTTGAGGGCGCACATCACAAATAAGTTTCTGAGAATGCTTCTGTCTAGTTTTCAGGGGAAGATATTTCCTTTTTCACCATAGGCCTGAAAGCGCTCCAAATGTCCACATCCAGATACTTCAAAAAGAGTGTTTCAAACCTGCTCTATGAAAGGGAACGTTCAACTCTGTGACTTGAATGCAAACATCAGAAAGAAGTTACTGGGAATGCTGCTGTCTGCTTTTTATATGTAATCCCGTTTCCAACGAAATCCTCAAAGCTAGACAAATATCCACTTGCAGATTCCACAAAAAGAGTGTTTCAAAACTGCTCTCTCAAAGGAAAGGTTCAACTCTGTTAGCTGAGTAGATACATCATGAAAAAGTTTCTGACATTGCTTCTATCTAGCTTTTATTGGAAGATATTTCCTTTTTCACCGTAGTCCTGAGATCTCTCCAAATGTCCACTTCCAGATACTACAAAAAGAGTGTTTCAAACCTGCTCTATGAAAGGGACTGTTCAACACTGTGACTTCAATTGAAACATCCCAATGAAGCTTCTGAGAATGCTTCTGTCTAGAGTTTATATGAAGACAATCCCGTTTCCAACGAAATCCTCAAAGCTATCCAAATATCCTCTTGCAGATATTACAAAAAGAGTGTTTCAAAACTGCTCTATCAAAAGAAAGCTTCAACACTGTTAGTTGAGGGCGCACATCACAAATAAGTTTCTGAGAATGCTTCTGTCTAGTTTTCAGGGGAAGATATTTCCTTTTTCACCATAGGCCTGAAAGCGCTCCAAATGTCCACATCCAGATACTACAAAAAGAGTGTTTCAAACCTGCTCTATGAAAGGGAATGTTCAACTCTGTGACTTGAATGCAAACATCACAAAGAAGATTCTGGGAATGCTGCTGTCTGCTTTATATATGTAATCCCGTTTCCAACGAAATCCTCAAAGCTAGACAAGTATCCACTTGCAGATTCCACAAAAAGAGTGTTTCAAAACTGCTCTCTCAAAAGAAAGGTTCAACTCTGTTAGCTGAGTAGATACATCATGAAAAAGTTTCTGACATTGCTTCTATCTAGCTTTTATTGGAAGATAGTTCCTTTTTCACCGCAGTCCTGAGAGCGCTCCAAATGTCCACTTCCAGATACTACAAAAAGAGTGTTTCAAACCTGCTCTATGAAAGGGACTTTTCAACACTGTGACTTCAATTGAAACATCCCAATGAAGCTTCTGAGAATGCTTCTGTCTTGAGTTTATATGAAGAAAATCCCGTTTCCAATGAAATCCTCAAAGCTATCCAAATATCCTCTTGCAGATTTTACAAAAAGACTGTTTAAAAACTGCTCTATCAAAAGAAAGCTTCAACACTGTTAGCTGAGGGCGCACATCACAAATAAGATTCTGAGAATGCTTCTGTCTAGTTTTCAGGAGAATATATTTCCTTTTTCACCATAGGCCTGAAAGCCCTCCAAATGTCCACATCCAGATACTATAAAAAGAGTGTTTCAAACCTGCTCTATGAAAGGGAATGTTCAACTCTGTGACTTGAATGCAAACATCACAAAGAAGATTCTGGGAATGCTTCTGTCTAGTTTTCAGGGGAAGATATTTCCTTTTAAACCATAGGCCTGAAAGCGCTCCAAATGTCCACATCCAGATACTACAAAAAGAGTGTTTCAAACCTGCTCTATGAAAGGGACTGTTCAACACTGTGACTTCAATTGAAACATCCCAATGAAGCTTCTGAGAATTGTTCTGTCTAGAGTTTATATGAAGACAATCCCGTTTCCAACGAAATCCTCAAAGCTATCCAAATATCCTCTTGCAGATTTTACAAAAAGAGTGTTTCAAAACTGCTCTATCAAAAGAAAGCTTCAACACTGTTAGTTGAGGGCGCACATCACAAATAAGATTCTGAGAATGCTTCTGTCTAGTTTTCAGGGGAAGATATTTCCTTTTTCACCATAGGCCTGAAAGCGCTCCAAATGTCCACATCCAGATACTACAAAAAGAGTGTTTCAAACCTGCTCTATGAAAGGGAATGATCAACTCTGTGACTTGAATGCAAACATCACAAAGAAGATTCTGGGAATGCTGCTGTCTGCTTTTTATATGTAAACCCGTTTCCAACGAAATCCTCAAAGCTAGACAAATATCCACTTGCAGATTCCACAAAAAGAGTGTTTCAAAACTTCTCTCTCAAAAGAAAGGTTCCACTCTGTTAGCTGAGTAGATACATCATGAAAAAGTTTCTGACATTGCCTCTATCTAGCTTTTATTGGAAGATATTTCCTTTATCACCGTAGTCCTGAGAGCGCTCCAAATGTCCACTTCCAGATACTACAAAAAGAGTGTTTCAAACCTGCTCTATGAAAGGGACTGTTCAACACTGTGACTTCAATTGAAACATCCCAATGAAGCTTCTGAGAATGCTTCTGTCTAGAGTTTATATGAAGACAATCCCGTTTCCAAAGAAATCCTCAAAGCTATCCAAATATCCTCTTGCAGATATTACAAAAAGAGTGTTTCAAAACTGCTCTATCAAAAGAAAGGTTCAACACTGTTAGTTGAGGGCGCACATTACAAATAAGTTTCTGAGAATGCTTCTGTCTAGTTTTCAGGGGAAGATATTTCCTTTTTCACCATAGGCCTGAAAGCGCTCCAAATGTCCACATCCAGATACTTCAAAAAGAGTGTTTCAAACCTGCTCTATGAAAGGGAATGTTCAACTCTGTGACTTGAATGCAAACATCACAAAGAATTTTCTGGGAATGCTGCTGTCTGCTTTTTATATGTAATCCCGTTTCCAACGAAATCCTCAAAGATAGACAAATATCCACTTGCAGATTCCACAAAAAGAGTGTTTCAAAACTGCTCTCTCAAAAGAAAGTTTCAACTCTGTTAGCTGAGTAGATACATCATGAAAAAGTTTCTGACATTGCTTCTATCTAGCTTTTATTGGAAGATATTTCCTTTATCACCGTATTCCTGAGATCTCTCCAAATGTCCACTTCCAGATACTACAAAAAGAGTGTTTCAAACCTGCTCTATGAAAGGGACTGTTCAACACTGTGACTTCAATTGAAACATCCCAATGAAGCTTCTGAGAATGCTTCTGTCTAGAGTTTATATGAAGACAATCCCGTTTCCAACGAAATCCTCAAAGCTATCCAAATATCCTCTTGCAGATATTACAAAAAGAGTGTTTCAAAACTGCTCTATCAAAAGAAAGCTTCAACACTGTTAGTTGAGGGCGCACATCACAAATAAGTTTCTGAGAATGCTTCTGTCTAGTTTTCAGGGGAAGATATTTCCTTTTTCACCATAGGCCTGAAAGCGCTCCAAATGTCCACATACAGATACTACAAAAAGAGTGTTTCAAACCTGCTCTATGAAAGGGAATGTTCAACTTTGTGACTTTAATGCAAACATCACAAAGAAGTTTCTGGGAATGCTGCTGTCTGATTTTTATATGTAATCCCGTTTCCAACGAAATCCTCAAAGCTAGACAAATATCCACTTGCAGATTCCACAAAACGAGTGTTTCAAAACTGCTCTCTCAAAAGAAAGGTTCAACTCTGTTAGCTGAGTAGATACATCATGAAAAAGTTTCTGACATTGCTTCTATCTAGCTTTTATTGGAAGATATTTCCTTTTTCACCGCAGTCCTGAGAGCGCTCCAAATGTCCACTTCCAGATACTACAAAAAGAGTGTTTCAAACCTGCTCTATGAAAGGGACTGTTCAACACTGTGACTTCAATTGAAACATCCCAATGAAGCTTCTGAGAATGCTTCTGTCTAGAGTTTATATGAAGACAATCCCGTTTCCAACGAAATCCTCAAAGCTATCCAAATATCCTCTTGCAGATTTTACAAAAAGAGTGTTTCAAAACTGCTCTATCAAAAGAAAGCTTCAACTCTGTTAGTTGAGGGCGCACATCACAAATAAGATTCTGAGAATGCTTCTGTCTAGTTTTCAGGGGAAGATATTTCCTTTTTCACCATAGGCCTGAAAGCGCTCCAAATGTCCACATCCAGATACTACAAAAAGAGTGTTTCAATCCTGCTCTATGAAAGGGAATGTTCAACTCTGAGACTTGAATGCAAACATCACAAAGAAGTTTCTGGGAATGCTGCTGTCTGCTTTTTATATGTAATCCCGTTTCCAACGAAATCCTCAAAGCTAGACAAATATCCACTTGCAGATTCCACAAAAAGAGTGTTTCAAAACTGCTCTCTGAAAAGAAAGGTTCAACTCTGTTAGCTGAGTAGATACATCATGAAAAAGTTTCTGACATTGCTTCTATGTAGCTTTTATTGGAAGATATTTCCTTTTTCACCGTAGTCCTGAGAGCGCTCCAAATGTCCACTTCCAGATACTACAAAAAGAGTGTTTCAAACCTGTTCTAAGAAAGGAACTGTTCAACACTGTGACTTCAATTGAAACATCCCAATGAAGCTTCTGAGAATGCTTCTGTCTAGAGTTTATATGAAGACAATCCCGTTTCCAACGAAATCCTCAAAGCTATCCAAATATCCTCTTGCAGATATTACAAAAAGAGTGTTTCAAAACTGCTCTATCAAAAGAAAGGTTCAACACTGTTAGTTGAGGGCGCACATCACAAATAAGTTTCTGAGAATGCTTCTGTCTAGTTTTCAGGGGAAGATATTTCCTTTTTCACCATAGGCCTGAAAGCGCTCCAAATGTCCACATCCAGATACTACAAAAAGAGTGTTTCAAACCTGCTCTATGAAAGGGAATGTTCAACTCTGTGACTTGAATGCAAACATCACAAAGAAGATTCTGGGAATGCTGCTGTCTGCTTTTTATATGTAATCCCGTTTCCAACGAAATCCTCAAAGCTAGACAAATATCCACTTTCAGATTACACAAAAAGAGTGTTTCAAAACTGCTCTCTCAAAAGAAAGGTTCAACTCTGTTAGCTGAGTAGATACATCATGAAAAAGTTTCTGACATTGCTTCTATGTAGCTTTTATTGGAAGATATTTCCATTTTCACCGTAGTCCTGAGAGCGCTCCAAATGTCCACTTCCAGATACTACAAAAAGAGTGTTTCAAACCTGTTCTATGAAAGGAACTGTTCAACACTGTGACTTCAATTGAAACATCCCAATGAAGCTTCTGAGAATGCTTCTGTCTAGATTCTATATGAAGACAATCCCGTTTCCAACGAAATCCTCAAAGCTATCCAAATATCCTCTTGCAGATTTTACAAAAAGAGTGTTTCAAAACTGCTCTATCAAAAGAAAAGTTCCACACTGTTAGTTGAGGGCGCACATCACAAATAAGTTTGCTGAGAATGCTGCTGTCTGCTTTTTATATGTAATCCCGTTTCCAACGAAATCCTCAAAGCTAGACAAATATCCACTTGCAGATTCCACAAAAAGAGTGTTTCAAAACTGCTCTATCAAAAGAAAGCTTCAACACTGTTAGTTGAGGGCGCACATCACAAATAAGTTTCTGAGAATGCTTCTGTCTAGTTTTCAGGGGAAGATATTTCCTTTTAAACCATAGGCCTGAAAGCGCTCCAAATGTCCACATCCAGATACTACAAAAAGAGTGTTTCAAACCTGCTCTATGAAAGGGAATGTTCAACACTGTGACTTCAATTGAAACATCCCAATGAAGCTTCTGAGAATGCTTCTGTCTAGATTCTATATGAAGACAATCCCGTTTCCAACGAAATCCTCAAAGCTATCCAAATATCCTCTTGCAGATTTTACAAAAAGAGTGTTTCAAAACTGCTCTATCAAAAGAAAGCTTCAACACCGTTAGTTGAGGGCGCACATCACAAATAAGTTTCTGAGAATGCTTCTGTCTAGTTTTCAGGGGAAGATATTTCCTTTTTCACCATAGGCCTGAAAGCGCTCCAAATGTCCACATCCAGATACTACAAAAAGAGTGTTTCAAACCTGCTCTATGAAAGGGAATGTTCAAGTCTGTGACTTGAATGCAAATATCACAAAGAAGTTTCTGGGAATGCTGCTGTCTGCTTTTTATATGTAATCCCGTTTCCAACGAAATCCTCAAAGCTAGACAAATTTCCACTTGCAGATTCCACAAAAAGAGTGTTTCAAAACTGCTCTGTCAAAAGAAAGGTTCAACTCTGTTAGCTGAATAGATACATCATGAAAAATTTTCTGACATTGCTTCTGTCTAGCTTTTATTGGAAGATATTTCCTTTTTCACCGTATTCCTGAGAACTCTCCAAATGTCCACTTCCAGATACTACAAAAAGAGCGTTTCAAACCTGCTCTATGAAAGGGACTGTTCAACACTGTGACTTCAATTGAAACATCCCAATGAAGCTTCTGAGAATGCTTCTGTCTAGAGTTTATATGAAGACAATCCCGTTTTCAACGAAATCCTCAAACCTATCCAAATATCCTCTTGCAGATTTTACAAAAAGAGTGTTTCAAAACTGCTCTATCAAAAGAAAGCTTCAACACTGTTAGTTGAGGGCGCACATCACAAATAAGATTCTGAGAATGCTTCTGTCTAGTTTTCAGGGGAAGATATTTCCTTTTTCACCATAGGCCTGAAAGCGCTCCAAATGTCCACATCCAGATACTACAAAAAGAGTGTTTCAAACCTGCTCTAAGAAAGGGAATGTTCAACTCTGTGACTTGAATGCAAACATCACAAAGAAATTTCTGGGAATGCTGCTGTCTGCTTTTTATATGTAATCCCGTTTCCAACGAAATCCTCAAAGCTAGACAAATATCCACTTGCAGATTCCACAAAAAGAGTGTTTCAAAACTGCTCTCTCAAAAGAAAGGTTCAACTCTGTTAGCTGAGTAGATACATCATTAAAAAGTTTCTGACATTGCT